>NC_000010.11:89385519-89688549 GCF_000001405.40 Homo sapiens
CAAAGGAGACCTAAACAGGGAAGGTTTCTGTTCCATGTGGCCAGGGTCACTGACCTGCAACAAAACCTAAGAGTAAAATAAATGAGCAAAGACAAGAGTTAGAAAGGAGGGAATTTCAGGAGTTCTACAGCATTCTAGCTGGAGTTCTATTTCCCAAGGCCCTACTGTAGCTGGGACCTGCTGGTCAGTGAGCCAAGCCTTATAATAAATTCAAATTTTTGTTTACATGTGTCCAGCTGCTGGCAATCACAAGGGATCTACGTGACCCAAACACACTGCTGGACATTTATTCACACCTGAGATCACACCTAAAATCACACATCTAAGATTACACCTAAGAGCTTTGCTAAGATCACAAATTCTTGGAGTGTATTTTATTAGTGATATTCAAAAACAAGTGTATTTTGTGTTTTATTTCAAATAGAAAAATGTAGAACCAACTTACACAGCATTAGAAGGCCTGAAGCAGAGGAAGTGATGGAATAGAAACCTGACCAAGAATTTTTATAATTTTTATTTATTTATTAGAGGCAGGGTCTTGTGATGTTGCTCAGGCTGGAGTTCAGTGGCTATTTACAAGCACAGTCATAGCACGCTGCAGCCTTAAACTCCTGGCCTCAAGAGATCTTCCCTCCTCAGCCACCTGAGTAGCCAAAACCATAAGTGCATGCCACCATGTACCACTTCCTACCAAGAATTTTTCAAAAAACTAGGGAGGCATTTACTACTACAGGCCATGGAATTTTAAGATTGACTTATGTTACTTGGATCCTTGAAAGCGGGGAGTGACCAATGATGGAGATTTGGGAGAGTGGGGAGGCAGGGGAGTGGAGTCATTTAGATGACACCTGGAAAGCACAGGAGTAACACCTTTTTCAACTTTGTTGATAGTAAACAAAGAACGTACTTATTCAATTTAACCAGAGGAAACTACTATTGACTTTTCCCTGTAAACAAGGTGTGATTCAGGCTCACCTGGCCTCTGAATTCCTTACTTGTAACTGCCACAGAGCTTCTTGTAGGGGAGATTTGCCTCCATTCATGGAATTAATCTAAATGAGACATCTGAGGACATATCTCTACTAATTAGAAAACACAGAGACAATGTTCTTCTAACTGGACAACTCTAAGCTTTTGGTTTGGCTCAGTTCTGTAATTGTTAGTAAACTGACAACTATTTGCTCCTTAGCTACTGGTTACTCTTGGCAAAAAGAAGTAACAAGAGATTTACAGTCCTCTTGGCTGAATTCATCACAAATAAAATAAAATTACTCAGCTAGTTAGTAAGTTGTCAGGAAATTAGGTTTTATTGAATCAAATTCATTCATTAATTAATATTGAAACCTTCCCACCACTCCAGGTACTGGAACCAAAACCTTTTGCAACTGCATCTACTTAATAGAGTTTATGAGTCTGTGGGTATATGAGTGTGTGTGTGTGTGTGTGTGTGTGTGAGAGAGAGAGAGAGTGTGTGTGTGTTTGGATAAGCACCAAGTAAGTCTTAAAACTATTTTAGGCTGGGCGCCGTGGCTCACGCCTGTAATCCCAGCACTTTGGGAGGCCGAGGTGGGCAGATCATGGGGTCAGGAGATCGAGACCATCCTGGCTAACACAGTGAAACCCCGCCTCTACTAAAAATACAAAAAATTAGCCGGGCGTGGTGGCGGGCGCCTATAGTCCCAGCTACTCGGGAGGCTGAGGCAGGACAATGGCGTGAACCCAGGAGGTGGAGCTTGCAGTGAGCCGAGAGATCCCGCCACTGTACTCCAGTCTGGGTGACAGAGCAAGACTCCGTCTCAAAAAAAAAAAAAAAAAAATCTATTTTAACAACATCAATTCACCATACCCTGGGAACATAAGAGGGAATCAATAAACAATTATGGATTCATTGGCTGAATATCATCTAAAGTGCTGCTTTTATCAGTGGCTTCTACATGCAATATGGGCCAGCGAAGAAGAGAGAAAAAATTGGAGGGTATATAAAACTTATCTACCTGCTTGTATTAAAATGAAAACAGTGGATGGATAAATGAAATTTTGTAATGGTTACCAATAAGAAAGAGAGGAAAAGGAAAGGGACAGCAATAGGAGCCAGACTTCTCTGTGTTTGTTTTTGCAACCATGTCAATATTTTGCCTAATTATAAAACCAAATTTATATTTAGAAAAGCAATCCACATATGTAAGCTAAATGTTTTATCAATTAATTGTACTGAAGGCCCTTTTATGCAAAAGAAAATATAAAATAAATGGATGGGTGGATAGAGAAATGAGTGGATGAATAGATATGTAATAAGGTAAATATAGTAAAATGTTAACTGTAGAATCTAGTTATACAAGTGTTCATTGTAAAATACTCTCAACTTTTCTCTCTGCTTGACCATGTATAATAATAAAATGTTTGGATAAAAAGGGCAAATAGCAGTATCTAAAAAGTACAGCAAACTGAGACAAATTATCCAAAATATGTAGGGAATGGTGGATAAAATCACATAGGAAGGAAGGATTCCAAGTGATTTTTAAGTGCGCTGTAATTTGACTCTACATTTTTAATAGGATATAGCTTATAAACAAAACTAACATGGAAAAAAATTCTTTTTTTTTTGAGACAGTGTCTCGCTCTGTCACCCAGGCTGGAGTGCAGTGGCATGATCTCAGCTCACTGCAATCTCCGCCTCCTGGGTTCAAGTGATTCTCCTGCCTCCGCCTCCTGAGTAGCTGGGATTACAGGTGGGTGCCACCACACCCAGCTAATTTTTGTATTTTCAGTAGAGACAGGGTTTTGCCATGTTGGCCAGCATGGTCTCGAACCCCTGACCTCAGGTGATCCGCCCATCTTGGCCTCCCACAGTGCTGGGATTACAGGTGTGAATCACCGCGCCTGGCCGAAAAAAATTCTTAAACTCTACTTAGCACCATTCTGGAGGTGTTTTGTTAATTTTGTTATTCAGAGACGGTTGTTGGTGTATTATATAATAGATCACATGAATAATTAAACTGGCATCACTTAGAAAAGGAATGTTTAGTTTGGGAGGAAAAATATGTACGTAAGATTTTTTATGTTAAGTAAAAAAATCCAGTGTACCTGGGTTTGTAAGATTCATGTCATATTTTATCTTCAAAATATATACACAGTATCCATGTCATCTTCCTGGTTTTAATATTGTACTACAGCTATATAAGATGTCACTATTTGGGGAATTTGGATGAAAAGTACACAGGATCTTTTCTGAAATTTCTTGTGTCTATAGTTGTTTCAAAATATGCCTGAAATGTAAAAAAAAAAAAAAAATGAGCTAATAAAAATTCTAGTAGTACTTGAATAGGTTGCAGTAAACCAAACTGTGGGTCAAGGTGGGCTGAGTGATATCATGGGCTGAGAGGTCTCTTGAAGTTTCATGAGAAGATATGTAAATCATCAAATCATTTGCAACGAAGAATTTCTGGAGTCCAAGTCCTCTCTCCATGGATGCGACTGGAAGTAGTTTAGGAAAAATCTCAGAAGCCAAGAAAATAGTTTTCATACAGTGGTCAGAACACTGAGAATTACATTCCTCAGAAAATAGGCTATAGCTAAAAATATCTTTGTGATTGAATACATTCAAAAGAGTATATAACATGTAATTAGCAGAGATATTCCAATTGTTAAATGTTAAATTATAAATTAAAAAGAGAAATATCTAGAAACCTGACTTTTATAATTAAATGAAAAACGTGAGGAAAATCAAAGATGCAGGAACATGGAAATGGATTGATCGATTCAGTCAAGCCTTTGGTTTTTATGATTCTAGCATGAAAGCATCTTGTGTGTCTTTCATGTCACTACAATGCCTTCATTTAACTATGATTACCAAAAAACAAGTACAGTAGCAACTTCTGCAGTACAAACTGATGGAAAGGACTGCTGAGGAGACAGAGAAGCCCAAGGAAGTAGTACCACCTAGGGGCTGAATTTGTTTCTAACAAGAAATCAGCTTTTCATTAGGTAACCAGATCACTAGATCCTATTCTACCTGGCCATTAGCAAGCTGATAAGAGATTTTAGACTACAAGAGATGACCCTGGAAAAGACAGGGGAAATTTCTATGGAGCCCATTCCTTAATAAGTTGTGATTGGATATTTGAGACCCTTCAGCAGAAATGGCTTAGCATTTGTCCATATTATCATATTATAATTTTTAAAAAATACACTCAGAATAACATTCTTTTTCCATATCATCCTGTGAATGAAGAAGAGACTAAGGAATTCATTACCCATTGTGTAGGTGAGGAAACAAGGCATTGAGTCGTAAAATACTGAATCTGGGCCTCACAGAACAGGAAGTGGGTCCAGGGATTGAGTCCCATATCTCTCAGTCAGAGAATTTCAGACATACAATAGACATTAGGGATAATTGAGGCCCTGGTTCCCGGCTCAGGGCGCAGGTCTACATCAAAATCACCTGAAGATTTCTTTCTTTTTTTTTTTTTTTTTTTTTTTGAGATGGAGTTTCACTCTTGTTGCCCAGGCTGGAGTGCAATGAAATGGCACGATCTCGGCTCACCACAACCTCCACCTCCCGGGTTCAAGCGATTCTCCTGCCTCAGCCTCCCGAGTAGCTGGGATTACAGGCATGTGCCACCACGCCCGGCTAATTATGTATTTTTAGTAGAGACGGGGTTTCTCCATGTTAGTCAGGCTGGTCTCGAACTCCCAACCTCAGGTGATCCGCCCGTCTTGTCCTCCCAAAATGCTGGGATTACAGGCGTGAGCCACTGTGCCCAGGCTGAAGATTTCTTTTTAATACTGAGCCAGAGGCCTGTACCTAAGTATATGTTCAATTGTTCTGGAATGGGCATAGTTAGCATTATTTTTGAGATTTACCTGGCTGATTCTAATGTGCAGTGAGGGTTGAGATCTGCCAACCTATTCCAAATGACTTCTCAGCTGAGGAAATTGAGATTCATAGAGGTGAAGCAGTTTATCATAACTGGTCAGTCCCTTGCAGAGCCCAGCTTAGACTCCTGGGAATGAACTCACAACCTAGTGCTGAAATTTCATTTTCTAAATGTTTGATCCTCTCTGGTTCCCATTTTCTTTTTTATCTGTAAACACACACACACACGCGCGCGATTGGCTTTTCTTTCCTTAATGCTGTTCTATCCTGTGTCCCTCATGGGTTTGTTTAGCCCAAAGAGACACTAAGCAAGATTCTGAATACCTAATCAGCCTGGGCCATAGCCCCGTAGAACCAAGACTGCTGCCAAATTCACAGCAATGGCAAGATAAACTTTTTGTTCATATCTCTGCATGCTATCTAGTGCATTGGCAAATTGAAAACCCATTTTTTCCCATAAGAATTCCAAAGACATCTTGCTCCCCAAAAGATGTTTTCTAATTCATCTGTTTCAGCATTTGCTTATGGCCTGATCATGTATCTGAGTGCAAGACAAAACCTGTCCTATTAATTCAGAAATTCTTATTTGTGTAGAACTTTCTAACTAGTTGTTGAACTCTCTGTGGAAGCTTACAGAATTGGTGAGAGCTGACATGGGAGATGAGTCTGGCAGGGAGTTGAGCAGAAACTGTTTAGATCTGGCAGTGTGCCCAGTTAAGTGTTTCCAAAAGGAAAATACTCTTGCACCTGCTCCTCTTCTGCTTCTTATGTTAAAAGACAAAGTAGGTAGGTTTTTTTAAAGGAAACATTGTTTTTATATATTGTTATGATTATTTGAGACAGGGGCTCACTCTGTTGCCCAGGCTGGAGTGCAGTGGTGTGACCATGGCTCACTGCAGCCTCTACCTCCTGGGCTCAAGTGAGCCTCCCACCTCAGCCTCCTGAGTAGCTGAGACCACAGACACACACCACCACACCCAGCTTTTTTTTTCAGTTTTTTTGTAGAGTTGGGGTCTCCCTATGTTGTCCAGGCTGGTCTACAATTCCTGGGCTCAAGTGATCCTCCCGCCTTGCCTTCCAAAATACTGGGACTTACAGGCCTGAGCCAATGCACCCGGACAACAATTTTTTATTTTTTATTTATTTATTTTTTTAGACGGAGTCTCGCTCTGTCACCAGACTGGAGTACAGTGGTGTGATCTCGGCTCACTGCAACCTCTGCCTCCCAGGTTCAAGCAATTCCCCTGCCTCAGCCTCTCGAGTAGGTGGGACTACAGGTGCACACCACCACACCCAGCTAATTTTTTGTATTTTAGTAGAGAGGGGGTTTCACCATGTTGGCCACGATGGTCTCCATCTCCTGACCTTGTCATCCGCCCACCTTGGCCTCCCAAAGTGCTGGGACTACAGGCATGAGCCACCGCACCCAGCCAAGAATCATTATTTTTAACTTGATGACTGAAAATAATAATAATAATAGTTACCACTTATTTGCATGCTTCTATGTGCCAGGTAGTTGCTAACTATTTAAACTCAAATTCCATGAACTGTAGTGGAGGTTGTACTGGAATTTGATTCAGAATGACAGTGTCCATGATGGAGCAATAGAGGGCTCTCTATTTCAAACCATACCTCCTTGCTTTTACCTCCTGCCTAAGTCATCAGGGGTTAGAAGGCTTTCTAGGTATTGGTCTCTTTCCTTCATTCCTAAACCAGATTGGTTGCTTATTTCCGTCAAGCTGAAACCAAAAGTAAGCAACCAAAAAGCAACCAGCAACCAAAAGCCTTGTTACTCAATTAATTAAGAGTAGATTTTTATATTTGATAGTAGGTTCCTTCTAAATATAGAAACTGAAAATAGAGCTATCTCCTTCAATTCTCCTTTTTCTGTGTATTCATCCAGAATCCAGCCACCAACTGCCACAATAGGCAGCAATGGACTGATGTTCTTTAGGGAGGACGTGAATCTCGTTCCAAATGCTGGCCAGTCATTGGGTTTCTGCAGCACTAGAAACATCTATGGTTGCAGGTCTGCAGTTTATCTGTTTTAAAATAGAAACAAAGTTTCATTCCCCACCCCCCCCCGTCAGCAGGAATTCCGCTAGCTTTAGTTTCACTTTCCCCTTTCGGTTTCCCTAGGTTTCCAACTTGCAAGGACACACCCACAGCTTACACCATTGGCTGCTGTTTAGCTCCCTTATATAACACTGTCTTGGGGTTTAAACGTAACTGAAAATCCACAAGACAGAATAGCCAGATCTCAGAGGAGCCTGGCTAAGCAAAACCCTGCAGAACGGCTGCCTAATTTACAGCAACCATGAGGTAAGGATTTCTTTGCTCCTCTGCCATAATGTCTAAAGTTTTTGAAAAAATGGTAATTAAATACTATTTCAACAGGTTAGATCTCAGTGAGGTCAGGTTTTCTAATTCCTCGATTTGAGTATCTGCTTATGGACTGAATGTGTGCATGCATGTGTGTGCACGTTCACACATACATAAATTGTTTAATGCATTTTTATGTTTGTTAGCATGAACTTGAGGAAGCTTACCTCATGCTATAGCCCAAAGAAGGGGAGGGAAATGGGAAAAGAGTTTTGCAGGAAGGGAGAAAATGATCCCAATCTGAGAGATTCTTTCCCATCAGATTCACTTCTGTCTGATATGGGGAAGGAATGGACAGCTTGTCTGAGTAGAGGCATTGCTTTCTGCAGGTTCTTTACCACAGAGAAAAAGCAGGACCCACAAGAATGTGAAAGCCTCAGTCTTGCAGCCTCTCTGATGTCTTGTGGGTAATACAGTGGAGATGTGGTAGGAAAAGCTCACAGCCTTCCTCCATAGGCTTCTGGTCTCACTTTCTGCACTGCTGGCCTCTTACAACAGGTTTTCGCAATCAGGCTGAGCTTAAGATAAACAGATTGCCTCCTCCCTGGAAAATCTAGGCTCTTGGTACGTCCTTGACTGAAGATGATCCACATCTGCTTGGGAAGATCCGTATCTTCCTTACCTAAAGGGCCTAATGTGGGAATTTCTCAGCTGATTTAAAAACCATTACTTAGGCCGGGCAAGGGGGCTCATGCTTGTAATCCCAGCACTTTGGGAGGCCAAGGTGAGCAGATCGCCTGAGGTCAGGAGTTGGAGCCCATCCTGGCCAACATGGTGAAACCCCATCTCTACTAAAAATACAAAAATTTGGGCATGGTGGCACATGCCTGTAGTCCCAGCTACTTGGGAGGCTGAGGCAGGAGAATCACTTGAACCTGGGAGGCGTAAGTTGCAGTGAGCTGAGATTGTACCACTGCACTCCAGCCTGGGCAACAGAGCGAGACTCCGTCTCAAAAACAAACAAACAAACAAAAAATCCATTACTTAATACTGATTTGTAAATTTTCCCCTCAGTGCTCCAGTTGGCAAAATTTTGAAGAGGTAAAAATTCCAGAAAATGCACATTACAGGCCTATGATGAACCCTCCTCTGTAAACAGATGGAGTTGGTACTGATAATTAAAATAATAATAATATTAAATGTTATAAAGGTAGTTATCACTTCTTGAATTCGTATTAAGTGACAGCCTGGCTTCTAAAAGTGTTATGTAAATTATTCCATTTAATTCTCAAAAGATACTTATAAGGCAGGTACTTACACAGTCATGCATCGTGTAACAATGGGGATACACTCTGAGAAATGCAGCTGTTAGGCAATTTCATCATTATGCAAACATCAAACCTAGACGGTATAGCCTACTACACACCTAGGCTATAAACCTGTGCAGCATGTTACTGTACTGAATACTGTAGGCAACTGCAATACAATGGCAAGTATTTGTTTATCTAAACATATTTAAACATAGAGTACAGCAAAATTGTGGCATTAAAATCTTATAGGACCACCACCAAATATGTGGTCCTTTGTGGACTAAAATATCATTATGCAGTGCATGGCTGTATGATCCTGATTTTACAATAAGGAATCTTAGATTTAGAAATGTTAAGATCACACAGACAATAAGTGGTAGCTTTGAGATATGGATCAGGATCTCTACATTCAATGATATTTCATTAAACCTTTAAATCAATGTTTCCCAAAGGGTGTCAGTGGGGGCTCATGTGATTATTTCAGATGGCAAACTCATTTGCTTTTATGTTTTCCTGCTTTTATGTTTATGTCAATATGTACTACAGGAAAATATATATATATATATATATATATATATATATATATATATATATATATATAAAACTTGAATTTTATTCAGGTTAGCAATGTGATTTTTTATTGTGATAAAATACATGTAAAATAAAATTTATCATTTTAATTACTTTAAAGTATACAATTTAGTAGTATTTAGTATATTCATGATACTACTGTGCAATCATCATCACTATCTAGTTCAAGAACATTTTTCTCGCTATGTGGAGAAACTGCATAGCCATTAAGCAGTCACTCCCTACTTGCCTCTTTCCCCAGGCCCCAGCAACTGTTAATCTGCTTTCTGTCTCTATGGATTTGCCTATTGTGGGTATTTCATATAAATGGAAACACATACTATGTGGTTATATTGAATTTTTATAATTTTATATTTCCTAAGCATCCCTTTTTGAATATTAAGTTGGACTTTCTCATTCCAGAAGCAGGGCTCAGTCACCCTTGAGACAATTTCTAGTTCTCCACCTTTTTCCAGTTCCTCAATGTGATTGATCCAGATATCTGCTTTATATAACTACCTCCTGGTGACCACTTCCCTATAGCATAGCAGGGTATGACCTATTTGACTTGCCCCCACTGACCCCACCCCCACCCCACATGGACCAGGCAGATGTGCTGCAGTGACCACCTCTCAGTCACAGCATGACCCCTTGGCAAAATTGCACCTGCTTGCTCTAAACCCACCAAATAGAACTCTCCACAGGAAACCCACCTAGGTAACGCCCTGGCCTCCCATAAAGGCTTGGGCCCACATTCCCCACTCGCTGGTTGAGCAGGCATGTCCTCAATGGCTCCCCCTTTCCCATTGGCCCTGCAAGGCATATTACCCTCTTCTCTCTGGATCTGTAAGTAATAAGCTGCTTCTGTTATTTCACATACTATTTTTTTCAATTGCCTCCTTTGTATTTCACCTGACCAACACACTCAAACTCTTCTTTACTGGTCATGGCTTTCCGAGAGAGTGGCTGTCTCAGTAGAAATAAACTAAACACAGGTCAGGCAAGAACCACAAGGGCATCTGCCTGATATAAACAAGTTTCCTATAAAAGGGGACACCTAGACATAGATCAGACGCTTAGGCATTAGGCTGTTCATCAAAATAAAGAAGTATCCCAAGAAAGGCACATTGTAAATATCCATGACCAAATACCCTGAAGCTCTTTCAAGGCAGGGCTGTAGATTGTAGCCACTCTCACAGGAGAGACCTCAAGACAAAATTAGGAAAAAAAAAAATACAACAGTGACCTTTTGGATCAGTTTTTTTCATTTAGTGTAGTGTTGTCAAGGTTTATCCATGTTGTGTCATGTATCAGTACTTCATTCCTTTTTATGGCTACATAATATTCCACTTTATGGATATATTACATTTTTTTATCTATCAGTTGGTGAACATTTGGGTTGTTTCCATTTTTTGGCCATTATGAATAGTGCTGCTATCAACATCTGTGTGCAAGTTTTTATTTGAACACCTGTTTTTAAGTATCTTAAGTATATATCCAGATGTGGAACATCCAGGAATGTATACCCAGGAATGTGTCATATGGTAATATTATGTTTAACTTATTGAGGAACCACCACATTGTTTTCCACAGCAGCTGCATCATTTTACATTCCCACCAGCAATGTATGAGGGTTTCAATTTCTCCACATCCTTATTGCCTTAGTCCTTTTTGTGTTGCTATAGAAGAATAAGCAACAATTTCTAAGGCTGGGCAATTTCTAAAGAAAAAAGGTTTATTTAGCTCACAGTTCCGCAGCCCATACAAGAAGTATGGTGCTGGCATCTTCTCAGCTTCTGGTGAGGGCTTTGGTGCTGTGTCAAAACACACTGGAGAAGGTCAAAGGGGAAGCACATACAAAGAGGGTCTAAACCCAGGGGGCATCCTCACATTATAACAACCCATTCTCAAAGGATTAATCCATTCCCCCAAGAACCAATCCAGTCTCACAAGAATGAGAATTCACTCACTACTACTAGAATGGCACCAGGTCATTCACGAGAGACCTACCTCTATGATCCAAACACATCCCACTAGACCCTACCTCCAAAATTGTGACACTAGAGATCAAATTTCCGTAGATTTGGTGGGGACAATCAAACTGTATCCAAACCATAGCACTTGTCAATACTTGTTCACCTATTCTCCTTTTCTAAAATTATTATTGTAGCCAACTTACTGGGTGAGAAGTGATAGCTCATGGTTTTGGTTAGCATTTTTCTAGTAGCTAATGATGTTGAGCATCTTTTCATGTGTTTGCTAGTCCTTTGTGATTCTTCTTTGGAGAATTGTCTACTCAAGTCCTTTGCCCATTTTTAAATTGGGTTGCTTATCTTTTTGTTGATGAGCTGTAAATATACTTACATATATTTCTCCATACATGAGTAATCACATACATACAAATATATAAGGATTTGGTTCTTTATAAAATAGGGTCGTGTTTTGGACACTTCTTTACAATTCACTTTTCTTGATATATATGAAAGTCCATCAAACTCAAGTAGTTTTGATCTAATTCATGTAGTCTAGTGGCTACATAATATTCTATGGTATAGATATACCTTTATTTAACCGTTCCCTATTAATATTTCCAGTTTGTTGCTAATATATACAGTGTTGGTAATGAATATTCTTGAGTATACATCCTTATGTACTGGTTATTTTTTTCTGGGAGATAGATTCTGAGGAGTGGAATTACTTTGTTGAAGGAAATGTAATTTTAATGACCACCATTAATTTTAATTTTGATTTTAAAATTAAAATTTTAATTTTAATTACTATCAATTTTCATGGCTGTCATCAGATTGATCTTGAAGGCCATAATAATACATGGCTTCAGAAATTGTGTCCTCATCCATTTAAACTCTTGCCAATCTGAGTGGAATAAAGTTATAAATTATTGCTTCTTTAATTTGCATTTCTCTAATGGCTAGAGGCTTAGGGCATCTTTTTTCTTTTTATAGAGACAGGGTCTTACTATGTTGCCCAGACTGATCTTAAACTTCTGGCCTCAAGCAAATCTCCTGCCTTGGCCTCCCAAAGTGCTAAGATTATAGGCATGAGTCATTGTCTTGATCCAGAGCATTTTTTTTCATATTTATTGGCCATTTATATTGGCTTTTCTACAAATTATCTATTCACATAGATTTCCAGTGGTCTGTTGAACTATACCAATTTACAAAAACACTTTGTATATTACAGATGAGAGTCTTCTCTGTATTACAAACATTTTCCACGTTTTTGTTATTTTTCTATTTACTTTGTTTGGAGTACCTTTGCCATAAATAAATCACAAATTGTTTTATTATGGTAAAACATATATAACATAAAATCCACCATTTTAACCATTTTTAAGTGTACAGTTCTATGACATTAAATACATTCACTTTATTGTGCAACCATGACCACCATCCATCTCCAGAAATTTTTCATCTTCCTAAACTGAAATTCTGTACTCATTAAACAATCATTTCCTATTCCCTCCTCCCCCAGTGTGGAGGATCAGTCAGAGTGACGGGAAAAACTATAGGGAAAGAATGCAAGCCTTCTGAAAGGTCAGAAGGTTCTGCAGAGCCCTGGGGGAGAACAGCTGAAGGCAGCTGTTCTATAACTCTGAGGCAGAGGGCAAGGAGTAGGTACAAGGGAGTGTGGGGGAATGTATCTTAAACAGGCTTGTTTATTTATGTTGACCAGGAACTGACCTTTGATCATCCACATGCGTGATGTTCCCTGAAAGGGGAACAATAAATGTTAATTCCCTACAGGTTGTGTTGGCTCCAGGTTTTCGGCATTGTGCCTGCACTGAATAAAAGTAAGCAGCTCCAGCTTCTCGGGGATGTTCTCTGGCCACTAGAGCCAGGCAGTCACCTAGCTGCTCTTACATTGCATACCTGTGTCTGAGTACTCATTTCATCCATCAGCCAGGGTCTGTGGGACAGACCCGGCACCCTAGTCCCTGTTAATCACTATTTTACTTTCTGTCTTTATGAATGTGCCTACTCTAGGTAGCTTATATAAATTGAATCATACAATATTGTCCTTTTGTGACTGGCTTATTTCACTTAACATAATACCTTCAAAGTTTATCCATGTTGTAACATGTATCAGAATGTCTTTTCTTTTTTAAGGCTGAATATTCCATTGTATGTATATACCACATTTTGTTTATCCATTCATCCATCAATGGACACTTAAGTTGCTCCTACCTTTTGCTATGTGAATAATGCTGCTATGAATATGGACAAATAAATAATCTGCTTGAGTCTCTGCTTTCACTTCTTTTTGGGTATAAAACCAAAAGTGGAATTGCTGGATCAAATGGTAATTCTATGGTTAATTTTTCTGAGGAATTACCATACCATTTTTCACAGCACTTGCCCCCTTTTACATTCCTACTAGCAGTGCACATTTCTCTAGATTCTCACCAATAATTGTTATATCCTGCTTTTTTTTTAAAATAATAGCCAACCTAACAGACATGAAGTGGTATCTCATTGTGGTTTTTATTTGCATTTCACTAATGATTAGTGATATTGAGCATCTTTGCATATGTTTATTGGCCATTTGTATATTTTCTTTTGGGAAATGTCTATTTAAGTCCTTTGCCCATTTCTTAATCAGTTGTTTGTTTTTTGTTGCTGAGTTGTAGAGGTTCTTTATCTATTCTGTATATTAATCCCCTATCAGGTACAAGATTTGCAAATATTTTCCTTCATTCTGTGATTTGTCTTATCACTCTGTTGATAGTATCCTTCCATGCATAAAAGTTTTTAATTTTGGTGGAGTCCAGCTTAATTATTTTTACTGTTATTGCCTGTGATTTTGGTATCATATCTAATGAATCACTGCCAATTGCCAAATCCAATGTTACAAAGCTTTTTCCTTTCTTCTGAGTTTTATAATTTTAGGGCTTACATTTAGGTCTTTCATCCATTTTGAGTTAATTTTTGTATATGGCATAAAGTAAGGGTCCAACTTTACCCTTTTTCATCATATATCCAGCTTTCCCACACATTTGTTGAAAAGACCATCCTTTCCCCATTAGATGGTCTTGTCATTCTTATTGAAAATCATTCCACCATTGTTATGGAATGAATTGTGCACTTCCCACCCACCCCTGCCCAAAATTCTTAAGTTGAAGCCTTAACCCTCTTATGTTGAACTGTTGTTTGGAGATAGAGTCTAAAAAGAGGTAATAAAGGTTAAATAAAATCGTAAGAGTGAGGCCTTAATCCAACAGAGCTGGTGTCCTTAGACACCAAAGCTCACTCTCTCTCTCTCTGTGCCACTGAGGAAAGGCCACTTAAGGATGCAGCAAGAAGGAGCCATCTGCAATCCAGGAAGAAATTCCTTGCCAGGAACCAAATTGGTTGTCACCTTCATCTAGGACTTCTAGCCTCGAGAACTGTAAGAAAATAAATTTCTGTTGTTTAAGACACCCACTCTGTTATATTGAGTTATGACATTCTGAGCTAACTAATACAGTCAGATAAGTAAGGGTTTTTTTCAGGGCTTTCTATTCTATTTCACTGGTCTATACATCTGTCTTTATACCATTGTTGTAATATTGTGATTACTGTAGCTGTGTAGTAAGTTTTGAAATCAGAATGTGTGAGACATCCAACTTTGTTCTTCTTTTTCAAGATTGCTTTGACTATTTGAGATCCCTTGACATTTCATATGAATTTTAGGTTGAATTTTTCTATTTCTGCAAAAAATGTCATTGGGATTTTTATTAGGATTGCATTGAATTTGTAGATCACTTTGGGTAGTATTGACATCTTAATATTATGTCTTCTAATCCACGAACAAAGGATGTCCTTCCATTTATTTATTGCTTCTTTAATTTCTTTCAGCAGTCTTATAGTTTCCAGTGTACAAGTCTTTTGCCTCCTAGGTTAAGTTTATTGCTAAATATTATATTCTTTTTGATGCTATTTTTGTAAATGGGATTGTTTTCTTAATTTCCTTTTGGGATTTTTAAATTGTTACTATATAGAAATATGACTGATTTTTCATGTAGATTTTGTATCCTGCAATTTTGCTGAATGTATTTGTTAATGTGTAGAATCCTTAGAATTTTCTACATATAAAATTATGCCATTTGTGAACAGAGATAATCTTACTTCTTCCTTTCCAACTTGGATGTCTTGTATTTCTTTTTCATTCCTAATTGCTCTGACTAGAATTTCCAGTACCATGTTGAATAGAAGTGGTGAAAGGAGCATCTTACCTCATTCCTGATCGTGGAGGAAAAGCTTTCCCTTTTTCACCATTGAATATGATACTAGCTATAGGTTTTTCATATATGGCTTTAATTGTGCTGAGATAGTTCCCCTGTATTAGTAGTCTATAGTCTGTTTTTTTTTTCATAAAGGGTGTTGAATTTTGTCAAATGCTTTTCCTGCATCAATTGAGATGGTCATGTATTTATTCCCTTCATTCTGTTAATGTGGTATATTACATTGATTAATTTTTGTATATTGAACTATCCTTTTATATGAAAGTCTCCATTTAGATGACTTTTTTTTTTTTTTTGAGACTGAGTTTCTCTCTGTTACCTAGGCCAGAGTGCAGTGGCGCGATCTCAGCTCACTGCAACCTCTGCCTCTCAGACTCAAGCGATTCTCCTGCCTCAGCCTCCGAAGTAGCTGGGACTACAGGCATGCACCACCATGCCCACCTAATTTTTTTTTTGTATTTTTAGTAGAGACAGGATTTCACCATGTTGGTCAGCTGGTCTCAAACTCCTGACCTCAAATGATCCACCTGCCTCGGCCTCCCAAAGTTCTGGGATTACAGGTGTGAGCCACCGCACCCAGCCTATATGACATTCTTGAAATGACAAAATTACAGAGATGAAGAACAAATTAGTGGTTACCAAGGGTTAGGGGAGTACAGGTGAGGAGGTGACAGATGTGACCATAAAGGGGTAATATGAGGGAGATGTGGTAGTGAAGAGGAGTTTCGTTTCTTTATCAAAGTGGTGGTCTCATAGGCTTACGTGAAAAAAATGACATAGCACTATACAAAAGCATTGTTGTACCAATGTCAATTTTCTAGTTTTGAGCTACTGTATTATAGTTGTGTAAGATATAATCATTGGAGAAAGTGGGTGAAGGATACACTGGATCTCTGTACTGTCTTTGCAACTTTCCGTGAATCTGTAATTATTTCCAAGTAAAAAAAAAATGAAAAAAAAAAAACCCGGGTCAAATATTATCTGTTTCATGTGGTCTTAATTTGTTGCATTACATGCAGAGTAAGGTCCTGAAGTCAATGTTTCCTAAGGTTCTGCATTTCTAACTGACCTCTGTCCTAATTATCTTAATATTAAAATAAGAAACTCTTATATAGCATATAATATGCTCTAAGTGCTTGACACATATAAGTTTATTAATCCTCACCAAACCCAGTGTGATAAATACTATCATTATCTCCATTCTACAAATAGGACTCATAAGTACAGAATAGTTACTTGGCTGGAAATTGCTCTAGCCAGCATATGAAGCCAAGCAAACAATATCAACAGTCCATGAATAACTTAAAAATACATTAACTTTAATGAAACCTAAGTAAGTTGATCCTTTCAAGGATAAGCACTAAAATACAAGGTATTTTATCTGACTTTTTTCTTTTAGCTGTTCCTCACCTAACAAAGAAAATCTGTTTTTGTTTTTACAGTACAAATGGTGATGATCATCAGGTCAAGGATAGTCTGGAGCAATTGAGATGTCACTTTACATGGGAGTTATCCATTGATGACGATGAAATGCCTGATTTAGAAAACAGAGTCTTGGATCAGATTGAATTCCTAGACACCAAATACAGTGTGGGAATACACAACCTACTAGCCTATGTGAAACACCTGAAAGGCCAGAATGAGGAAGCCCTGAAGAGCTTAAAAGAAGCTGAAAACTTAATGCAGGAAGAACATGACAACCAAGCAAATGTGAGGAGTCTGGTGACCTGGGGCAACTTTGCCTGGATGTATTACCACATGGGCAGACTGGCAGAAGCCCAGACTTACCTGGACAAGGTGGAGAACATTTGCAAGAAGCTTTCAAATCCCTTCCGCTATAGAATGGAGTGTCCAGAAATAGACTGTGAGGAAGGATGGGCCTTGCTGAAGTGTGGAGGAAAAAATTATGAACGGGCCAAGGCCTGCTTTGAAAAGGTGCTTGAAGTGGACCCTGAAAACCCTGAATCCAGCGCTGGGTATGCGATCTCTGCCTATCGCCTGGATGGCTTTAAATTAGCCACAAAAAATCACAAGCCATTTTCTTTGCTTCCCCTAAGGCAGGCTGTCCGCTTAAATCCAGACAATGGATATATTAAGGTTCTCCTTGCCCTGAAGCTTCAGGATGAAGGACAGGAAGCTGAAGGAGAAAAGTACATTGAAGAAGCTCTAGCCAACATGTCCTCACAGACCTATGTCTTTCGATATGCAGCCAAGTTTTACCGAAGAAAAGGCTCTGTGGATAAAGCTCTTGAGTTATTAAAAAAGGCCTTGCAGGAAACACCCACTTCTGTCTTACTGCATCACCAGATAGGGCTTTGCTACAAGGCACAAATGATCCAAATCAAGGAGGCTACAAAAGGGCAGCCTAGAGGGCAGAACAGAGAAAAGCTAGACAAAATGATAAGATCAGCCATATTTCATTTTGAATCTGCAGTGGAAAAAAAGCCCACATTTGAGGTGGCTCATCTAGACCTGGCAAGAATGTATATAGAAGCAGGCAATCACAGAAAAGCTGAAGAGAATTTTCAAAAATTGTTATGCATGAAACCAGTGGTAGAAGAAACAATGCAAGACATACATTTCCACTATGGTCGGTTTCAGGAATTTCAAAAGAAATCTGACGTCAATGCAATTATCCATTATTTAAAAGCTATAAAAATAGAACAGGCATCATTAACAAGGGATAAAAGTATCAATTCTTTGAAGAAATTGGTTTTAAGGAAACTTCGGAGAAAGGCATTAGATCTGGAAAGCTTGAGCCTCCTTGGGTTCGTCTACAAATTGGAAGGAAATATGAATGAAGCCCTGGAGTACTATGAGCGGGCCCTGAGACTGGCTGCTGACTTTGAGAACTCTGTGAGACAAGGTCCTTAGGCACCCAGATATCAGCCACTTTCACATTTCATTTCATTTTATGCTAACATTTACTAATCATCTTTTCTGCTTACTGTTTTCAGAAACATTATAATTCACTGTAATGATGTAATTCTTGAATAATAAATCTGACAAAATATTAGTTGTGTTCAACAATTAGTGAAACAGAATGTGTGTATGCATGTAAGAAAGAGAAATCATTTGTATGAGTGCTATGTAGTAGAGAAAAAATGTTAGTTAACTTTGTAGGAAATAAAACATTGGACTTACACTAAATGTTTAATTCATTCATTTTATTGTGAAATAAAAATAAAATCCTTAGCTCCTCCACCAACTGAACAGACCCTCTTGGCCAAGGAGACCCCAGAAACCTTAAAAACTAAGTTTCCCAACCATGACAAGATGAGAGATCATTCACACCTCATTATATTCCCTCCCTTGCTAACTGCCATTGGACTTTTTCCACTGAGTTAAACAGAAACCCATGGAAAACAAAGAACAGAAGACTCACTCCTTGGCTGACTTCACCTAGCTCACTCCACGTAGCGCCACAGCCAGACTCCCCTCCCCTCTTGCGGTTTCCACATGACAACTGATCAGCCTTCCCTCCTGATAAGTGACCACTGCCCACAGACTGGTTCTGGCCAGTCCATGGAGGCTGCACACAGGGTGCCTCTATGTCCTTTGTTTCACCTTTTGATATAGAAAGGCTAATTTTGCTGTATTTTAATGTTAAGTCTCCACCACAGAGTGAACACAGAATGCATGTGACATACATGTTTACATACCACTATTGTGTGACTGCCCCTCATGAATATTCATAGCCCCCCATAACCTGTTAACTATGTGTGTCTAGCCAATCCACCAACCATAAAACTTCTGTAATACCCTCCCTTCCTCCAAGAGCCTGCTTTTGGTTGCTGTGGTAGGCTCTGCTTCCCAGGCTGCAGGTTGCAGGAGAGGAGGCTGCAGTGGCTCACGCCTGTAATCTCAGCACTTCGATGGGACGAGGCAGGCAGATCACCTGAACCCAGGAGTTCGAGAGCAGCCTTGGCAATGGCAAAACCAACCGTCTCTACAAAAAATGCAAAAACTTAGCTGGGTGTGGTGGCATGCACCTGTAGCTTCAGTTCCAGCTACTCAGGAGGCTGAGGTGAGTGGACTGCTGGAGCCAGGGAGTTCGAGGCTGCAGTGTCGAGATCTTGCCACTGCACTCCATTCTGGATGATAGAACGAGACCCCATCTCAAAAAAAAAAAAAGTTCTCTCCAATTGTATATAGCTTGTGATTTTATGTCAACACTATCAATAAATAGCTTTCAGTGCAAGAAACCAAAAATACTGTAATAAACAGGCACATATTCTTCCCAAACCTCATGCAGTTTACAATCTAGTGAGAGACACAGATAGCAGTACAGAGTCAATTAAAGGTTAGTTTTCTTCATGAAGATGTTTTAATTTTAATTCAATGTGAAAGGGTTCCAAGGAGTTTATCTTGTTTTATGCCATTTTATTTGAAGCACTACTTACTAAGTCATTTGCTGATATTAATCTAGTTAAATCAAGAAATATTACATGAAAATGTTGCTAAATCAGAGATCATGGGTAACAATCACCTTTGATTATGAATAATCATATTTTATTGAAAGGCAAGGCACAACAAATAATAAGAAGGAAAAAATAAATAAGCAATGTTATTGATCTTTCATTCTGTATATGTTTTGGGGGGAATATACTAGTTTCTTTTAGTGGCTGTAACAAATTACCACAAACTTGGTGACTTAAAATTTCACAGATTTACTCTTTCTTACAGTTCTGGAGGTCAGAAGTCTGAAATGGGTTTCAATGAGCCAAAGTCAAGGTATTGATGACGCTACACTCCTCCGGAGGCTCTAGGCAGATAGCCTTTTCCAGCTTCCAGAGGCTGCCTGAATTCTTTCATCCATCTTAAAAACCAACAGTGTAGTAGCCTCAAATCTCTCTCTCTGCTTCCTTCTTCACATCTCCTTCTCTCCTCTGACTCTTTTGCCTCTTTCTTCTAAGGACGCACCAGGTCCACCTGCATAATCCAGAATAATTGCCCCATCCGCAAATCCTTAATTTAATAACATCTGCAAAGTCCCTTTTGCTATGTAAAGTAGCATGTTCACAGGTTCTGGAGACTTGGCCATGGATACGATTGCGGGGGGGGCATTATTCTTACCACAGAGCACCCCAAGAAAATCTCCAAATTTTGGGCTTCCAATCCATTTTGCTTCAATTATTTAATATTTTTACTCCTTCCAGTAGATACTGATTTCATCCATTGCCCTTAAGAAGGTAGGACAGAGATTATGGCACATCTCACATTAAATGCTATATTTTCGTTGGAAATACATTTTTTGCTTCAACTTTTATTTTAAATTCAAGGGTACATGTGCAGGATGTTCAGGTTTGTTACACAGGTAAACGTGTGCCATGGCGGTTTGCTGAACAGATCATCCCATCACCAACAGATCATCCCATTGAGAGGTGAAGCCGGCTGGGCTTCTGGGTTGGGTGGGGACTTGGAGAACTTTTCTGTCTAGCTAAAGTATTGTAAAATGGACCAGTCAACACTCTGTAAAATGGACCAATCAGCTCTCTGTAAAATGGACCAATCAGCAGGATGTGGGTGGGGCCAAGTAAGGGAATAAAAGCAGGCCACCCGAGCTGGCAGCGGCAACCCGCTCGGGTCCCCTTCCATGCTGTGGAAGTTTTGTTCTTTCGCTCTTTCAATAAATCTTGCTGCTGCTCACTCTTTGGGTCTGCACTGCTTTTATGAGCTGTAACACTCACCACGAAGGTCTACGGCTTCACTCCTGAAGCCAGCGAGACCACAAACCCACCAGGAGGAACAAACAACTCCCGACACACCACCTTTAAGACCTGTAACACTCACTGCAAAGGTCTGCAGCTTCACTCCTGAAGTCAGCAAGACCACAAACCCACCAGAAGGAAGAAACTCTGGATGCATCTGAACATTGAAAGGAACAAACTCTGGACACACCACCTTTAAGAACTGCAACACTCACTGTGAGGGTCCGCAGCTTCATTCTTGAAGTCAGCGAGACCAAGAACCCACTGGAAGGAACCAATTCCAGACAAATTTTGGTGACCACGAAGGGACTATCGCCTATCACCTATCGCCAAGCAGTGAGTACCATCGGACCCCTTTCACTTGCTATTCATCCTATTTTTCCTTAGAATTCGGGGGCTAAATACTGGGCACCTGTCGACCAGTTAAAAGCAACTAGTGTGGCCGCCAGACTAAAGACACGGGTGTCAGGCTTTCTGGGAAAGGGCTCTCTAACAACCCCCAACTCTTTGGAGTTGGGAGCGTTGGTTTGCCTGGAACCAGCTTCCATTATTCCTGTACTTCCAGGCTGAACCAAGGGTTGACAGGGAGGAAAGCCATTCAGCTCTGGGGTCCTGACAACAAGTTCATTGACCCTGCGGCCATGAGTGAAACTCTCAAAGTCATGTCGCCCAAGTGAGACTCACCTATCTATTCTATCTACCCTAACCCTTGCCTCCTGGGTCCTAATGCCTGCCAGACAAACTTCCTCTTGCTTCTCTTCTCCGAGGCTAGTCCCGCTTCTAAAAACCACTCCCTGTCTCTGGTGCTTTTCTAGTTTCCCCTATAAGAATGATTTCTAGTATAAACTTCCGGACTCTGTTACCATCTTTAGGCACCCAGGCTCACCAATGAGAAAGACATAATTTTTGCCCAAAGCCCCATCGTATGGGGGACTATCTGGAATTTTAGGATCCCTCCTCAGACAAGCAGGCCTAACAAAAGCTATTCCTGAAGCTAGAATATGGGGAGCCTCAGAAATTGTATCCTTCCTATTCATATAAATGAAGACAAAAGGCATTACGCTTCCAACTCTGGAGCTCCCTTCCCTCCCTCAGGGTATGGCCCTCTACTTCATTTTTGGGGCATAACATCTTTATAGGACACAGGTAAGGTCCCAATACCAACAGGAGAATGCTTAGGACTCTAACAGGTTTTAGAGAATGCGTCGGTAAGGGCCGCTAAGTCCGATTTTTCTCGGTCCTCTTTGTGGTCTAGGAGGACAGGCAAGGGTGCAGGTTTTCGAGAATGTGTAGGTAAGGGCCACTAAATCCAACCTTCCTCAGTCCTCCTTGTGGTCTAGGAGGAAAACTAGTGTTTCTGCTGCTGCATTGGTGAGTGCAACTATTCCAATCAGCAGGGTCCAGGGACCATTGCGGGTTCTTGGGCAAGAGGTGTTTCTGCTGCTGCATCAGTGAGTGCAACTATTCTGATCAGCAGGGTCCAGAGACCATTGCGGGTTCTTGGGCAGGGGGAGAAACAAACAAACCAAAACCATGGGTGGTTTTGTCTTTCAGAAGGAAAACACTCAGGTATCAACAGGCTCACCCTTGAAATGCATCCTAAGCCATTGGGACCAATTTGACCTGCAAACCCTGAAAAAGAGGTGGCTCATTTTTTTCTGTGCTATGGCCTGGCCCCAATATTCTCTCTCTGATGGGGAAAAATGGCCACCTGAGGGAAGTATAAATTACAATACTATCCTTCAGCTTGATATTTTCTGTAAGAGGGAAGGCAAATGGAGTGAAATACCTTATGTCCAAGCTTTCTTTTCATTGAAGGAAAATACACAACTATGCAAAGCTTGCAATTTACATCCCACAGGAGGACCTTTCAGCTTATCCCCATATCCTAGCCTTCCTATAGCTCCCCTTCCTATTAATGATAAGCCTCCTCTAATCTTCCCTGCCCAGAAGGAAATAAGCAAAGAAATCTCCAAAGGACCACAAAAACCCCAGGGCTATTGGTTATGTACCCTTCAAGCTGTAGGGGGAGGGGAATTTGGCCCAACCTGGGTACATGTCCCCTGCTCCCTCTCTGATTTAAAGCAGATCAAGGCAGACCTGGAGAAGTTTTCAGATGATCCTGATAGGTACACAGATGTCCTACAGGGCCTAGGGGAAACCTTCCATCTCACTTAGAGAGATGTCATGCTAGTGGTAGATCAAACCCTGGCCTTTAATGAAAAGAATGTGGCTTTAGCTGCAGCCTGAGAGTTTGGAGATACCTGGTATCTTAGTCAGATAAATGATAGAATGACAGCCCAAGAAAGGGACAAATTCCTTACTGGTCAGCAAGCCATCCCCATTATGGATCCCCACTGGGACCTCAACTCAGATCATGGGGACTGGAGTCGTAAACATCTGTTGACCTGTGTTCTAGAAGGACTAAGGAGAATTAGGAAAAAGCCCACGAATTATTCAGTGATGTCCACCATAACTAAGGGAAAGGAAGAAAATCCTTCTGCCGTCCTTGAGCGGCTACGGGAGGCCTTAAGAAAATATGCTCCCCTGTCATCTGAATCACTAGAGGGTCAATTGATTCTAAAATATAAGTTTATTACCCAATCAGCCACAGATATCAGGAGAAAGCTCCAAAAGCAAGCCCTGGGCCCTGAACAAAATTTGGAGGCATTATTAAACCTGGCAACCTCGGTGTTCTATAATAGGGACCAAGAGGAACAGGCCGAAAAGGAAAAGCGAGATCAGAGAAAGACCGCAGCCTTAGTCGTGGCCCTCAGACAAACAAACCTTGGTGGTTCAGAGAGGACAGAAAATGGAGCATGCCAATCACCCGGTAGGGCTTGTTATCAGTGTGGTTTACAAGGACGCTTTAAAAAAGACTGTCCAAACAAGCTGCCCCCTCACCCATGTCCACTATGCCAAAGCAATCACTGGAAGGCACACTGCCCCAGAGGACAAAGGTTCTCTGGGACAGAAGCCCCCAACCAGATGATCCAACAACAGGACTGAGGGTGCCTGGGGCAAGCACCAGCTCATGTCATCACTCTCACTGAGCCCCAGGTATGTATAACCATTGAGGGGCAGGAAATTGACTTCCTCCTGGACACTGGTGCAGCTTTCTCAGTGTTAATCTCCTGTCCTGGACAGCTGTCCTCAAGTTCCATTACCATCCAAGGAATCCTGGGACAGCCTGTAACCAGGTGTTTCTCCCACCTCCTCAGATGTAATTGGGAGACTTTGCTCTTTTCACATGTCTTTCTTGTTATGCCTGAAAGTCCCACACCCTTATTAGGGAGGGATATATTAGCCAAAGCTGGAGCTATTATCTAAACGAATATGAGGAATAAGTTACCCATTTGTTGTCCCCTACTTGAGAGGGGAATCAACCCTGAAGTCTGGGCATTGGAAGAAACAAACTCAAGCTCTAGCCTTAAGCCTTCCCAAAGGATGAAACTTTTCTTTAAACATCACAGAGAAAGCAGAAATAGCTCCTGGGGTCCTTACTCAGACTCGTGGGACAACCCCATGACCAGTGGCATACCTAAGTAAGGAAACTGATATAGTAGCAAAAGGCTGGCCTCACTGTTTAAGGGTAGTTGTGGCAGTGGCCATCTTAGTGTCAGAGGCTATCAAAATAATATAAGGAAAGGGTCTCACTGTCTGGATACTCATGATGTAAATGGCATACTAGGTGCCAAAGGAAGTTTATGGCTATCAGACAACTGCCTACTTAGATACCAGGTGCTACTCCTTGAGGGACCAGTGCTTCAAATACCTATATGCGTGGCCCTCAACCCTGCCACTTTTCTCCCAGAGGTTGGGGAACCAATTGAGCATGACTGCCAACAAATTAGTCCAGACTTATGCTGCCCGAGATGATCCCTTAGAAGTCCCCTTAGCTAATCCTGACCTTAACCTATATACCGATGGAAGTTCATTTATGGAGAATGGGATACAAAGGACAGATTATGCCATATTTAGCGATGTAACCATACTTGAAAGTAAGCCTCTTCCCCCAGGGACCAGCACCCAGTTAGGAGAACTAGTGGCACTTACCCGAGCCTTAGAACTGGGAAAGGAAAAAGCAATAAATGTGTATACAGAGAGCAACCATGCTTATCTAATCCTACATGCCCATGCTGCAATATGGAAAGAAAGGGAGTTCCTAACCTCTGGGGGAACCCCCATTAAATAACACAGGGAAACCACGGAGTTATTGCACGCGGTGCAAAAACCCAAGGAGGTGGCAGTCTTACACTGCTGAAGCCATCAAAAGGTGAAGGAGAGGGAAGAACAGCAGCATAAGCCACTGGCAGAGGCAGGGAAACACCAGCAGAAAGGAAAGCAAGAAAGAGACAGAAAGTCAGAGAGAGAGAGACAGAGAGAGGAAGAGAGAGACGAAGAAGTCAAAGAGAGAGATAGAAGTAGTAAAGAAAAAACAGTGTACCCTATTCCTTTAAAAGCCAGGGTAAATTTAAAACCTATAATTGATAACTGAAGGTCTTCTCAGAAACCCTATAACACTCCAATACCACCTTGCTGTCAGTGTAAACAAGGGCGTAGCCTGAAAGCACTGAGGCCACTGACAACCAGTAGCCTTCCTATCAAAAATCCTTACCCAGCAGGTTTCCTAACAGGGGATCTAAATCTTAATTAATTCCCATACAAAGGTCTGACCAGATCTAGGAGGAACTCCCTTCAGGACAGGACGGATAGATGGTTCCTCCTGGGCAATTAAGGAAAAAAAAAACACAATGGGTATTCAGTAAATAATAAGGAAACTCTTGTAGAAGCAGTGTTAGGAAAATTGCCTAATAATTGGTCTGCTCAAATGTGTCAGCTGTTTGCACTCAGCCAAACCTTAAAATACTTACAGAATCAGGAAGGAGCCATCTATACCAATTCTAAGTTAATATGGACTGAACGAGGTCTTACTAATAGCAAAGAATAATTGAAATCCCAAACTTACAAGGTTTTCAACTAACGTAAAGTTTGCTAAAAGTTAACAGTGTAACATGCATTATCCTACTACCATACACTCTCAAAGGATTTCTCAGACAGTTTGCATGAAATAATGAAATCTATCCTTACTCTACAATCCCAAACAGACTCTTTGGCAGCAGCGACTCTCCAAAATCGCCAAGGCCTAGACCTCCTCACTGCTGAGAAAGGAGGACTGTGCAGCTTCTTAGGGGAAGAGTGTTGTTTTTACACTAACCAGTCAGGGATAGCACGAGATGCCACCCGGTGTTTACAGGAAAAGGCTTCTGAAATCAGACAACACCTTTCAAACTCTTATACCAACCTCTGGAGTTGGGCAACATGGCTTCTCCCCTTTCTAGGTCCTGTGGCAGCCATCTTGCTGTTACTTGTCTTTGGGCCCTGTGTTTTTAACCTTCTTGTCAAATTTGTTTCCTCTAGAATTGAGGCCCTCAAGCTACAGATGGTCTTACAAATGGAACCCCAAATGAGTTCAACTAACAACTTCTACCGAGGACCCCTGGACTGACCTGCTGGCCCTTCCACTGGCCTAAAGAGTTCCCCTCTGGAGGACACTACACCTACAGGGCCCCTTCTTCGCCCCTATCCAGCAGAAAGTAGCTAGAGCAGTCATCAGCCAAATTCCCATCAGCAATTGGGGTGTCCTGTTTAGAGGGGGGATTGAGAGGTGAAGCTGGCTGGGCTTCTGGGTCAGGTGGGGACTCAGAGAACTTTTCTGTCTAGCTAAAGGATTGTAAACGCACCAATCAGCACTCTGTGTGTAGCTAAAAGTTTGTAAACGCACCAATCAGCACTCTGTCAAAATGGACCAATCAGCACTCTGTAAAATGGACCAATCAGCACTCTGTAAAATGGACCAATCAGCACTTTGTAAAGTGGACCAATCAGCTCTCTGTAAAATGGACCAATCAGCAGGATATGGGTGGAGCCAAATAAGGGAATAAAAGCAGGCCACCCCAGCCAGCAGCGGCAACCTGCTCGGGTCTGCTTCCACGTCGTGGAAGTTTTGTTCTTTCGCTCTTCGCAACGAATCTTGCTGCTGCTCACTCTTTGGGTCCACACTGCCTTTATGAGCTGTAACACTCACCACAAAGGTCTACGGCTTTACTCCTGAAGTCAGTGAAACCACGAACCCACCGGGAGGAACGAACAACTCCGGACGCGCCACCTTTAAGATCTGTAACACTCACTGTGAAGGTCTGCAGCTGCACTCCTGAAGTCAGCAAGACCACGAACTCACCAGAAGGAAGAAACTCCAGACACATCTGAACATCGAAAGGAACAAACTCCAGACACGCCATCTTTAACAACTGTAGCACTCACAGCGAGAGTCCGCAGCTTCATTCTTGAAGTCACCAAGACCAAAAACCTACTGGAAGGAACCAATTCCGGACACACCATCACCTACGTATTAAGCTCAGCATCACTTAGCTATACTTCTTGATGCTCTCCCTCCCACCACCCCCAACTCCAACAAGCCCCAGTGTGTGTTGTTCCCCACTGTGTCCGTGTGTTCTCATCATTTAGCTCCCACTTACAAGTGAGAACATGCAGTGTTTGGTTTCTGTTCCTGCATTAGTTTGCTGAGGATAATCACTGGAAATACTTGCTCTGTATTTAGAGTTCATAAAATTTGCAACTTATAAAAAGCAGATTCGTATACCTAAGTTATTCCAAATGTAAGTTTTCTATTAACTTATCAGTTTTTAAATTTATATTAAATTAAAAATCAGGTTCTTAATAGCCACAGGTGACCAGCAGTTTCTGTATAAGACAGTACAACTGTTAGAAGTGATTGCTTTAAATGAGGCACTCGCTTCAGGCACTAAGTTTTGAGGGGTGGGGTGCCAGAAGCTCAGTGATCAAGGTAGACAATATTTCAATGCAATATGTTTTTAAAAATTCAAAATCAGGCCAAGCATAGTGGCTCATGCCTGTAATCCCAGCATTTTGGGAGGCCACGATGGGCGGAACAATATTTAAGGTTTAGAAAAATATTTGTGCCCAGGTGTTGGAGACCAGCCTGGGCAACATGGCAAAACCCCGCCTCTACAAAAAATAAATTAATTAGCCCGACATAGTGGTGCACGCATATAGTCCCAGCCACTCAGGAGGCTGAGGTGGGAGGATCGCTTGAGCCATGAAGGTTGAGGCTGCAGTGAGCTGTCATCTCACCACTGCACTCCAACCTGAGTGACAGAGTGAGACCCTGTCTCAAAAAAAAAAAAAAAACCAAAATCAATGCAAAAGATGAATTATGGACAGGATATTGAGGTTTTGAATACAGACATTAACTCAATAAGGGTAAGGCCCGTGTCTGTTTTCTTTATTGTTATATTGACAGTACTTTGAACAAAGTCTGGCTCTTACAGTTGTTTGTCAATATTTGCTGAATGAATTCAAAGGGGACAAAATGTTTAAGGTATGGGTGTTTGACATTTTCTGCCTAGATCCCCAATACCACTCTTGTCTTTATTGGGTCCTTATTACAAAGCACCATTGGCGAAGGTATGGAAGAGAAGCAGTCTCCTACAATTGTGGGTAAGAGTGGATTTTTAAAGCTATTTGGCAATATCCGTCAAAACTTAAAATGTATATAGATTTTAGCTCCAAATTTCTCAGTTTACACCCAACAGAAATAACAGCATAGATGTATAGCATTGCAGTGTTGCTTGTTGAATCAAAAGACTGGAGTGGAAGCAGGGACTTAAGTTTCCGCCTGTAATCCCAGCACCTTGGGAGGCAGAGGCGGGCGCATCCCTTGAGATCACGACTGGGTGACACAGTGAGACGCTATCTCAAACAAACAAACAAACAAACAAACAGTTACACGGGCAGCATGCGAACTCAGCGTACTCAGGGAGGCAGATAAAAGCCGAGACCAAAGTGAAGGAGCCCAGCTGCAAATTCAACTCCGAAAGACCCTGGACTCCGCAAACGTCTGGCCGCGGCTCTTGAGCTCTTCTATTAAGTTTCGGTTTCTGAAGCTTACGTTTAGTTTCGATTTCTTAAGTTTCAGTTTCTGAGCGCTCGGCATCTGATTCAATCTCCAGTTTCCTGTTCTTGCTGGGGCTGGGGTCTCTCCTTTAACAAAGACACGCCGCGCGGCCGAGTCCAGGGGCTGCAGAGGCCTGGCGCGCGCACGCGCACGCGCACGCCCACCGCGCGGCTTCCCGCGGTCCCCGGTGCTGAGGAGAGAGCGATCCGAGGGACTGCGCCGCCCGGACGGCCTGCAGAGCGCTGCCATCATGAGGTAAGGGTTTTCCTTTGCCTCTCCTCCCAAGCCCTGCGTCGGCCTTGGTTTCAAACCGGGCTGCTTTTATTCATTTCCAGCGCAGTTCTGCGGCCTTTTCAGGGGCCGAGCCCCTCGCGCCCAGCAACCGGGCATCTGCGTTGGGGACCCTCCCCGGGCGCTCTGTCCCGGCGCGCGGCGTCTGAAGTCGGGCCTGCCGGGGAGGGTGGCCGAGTGGACGCTTCTCGGGAGTCCGGCCCCTCCCCAGCGCCTAAGAAGGCCGGTCAGGGAGGAGGAACAGGAGATGCTCCCCGGGAGCCTGTCCCATCCCTGGCGTCTGCGGTCGGGACTGTCAGGGTATGTGCCGGGCGACGCTCCCCCGGAAGGCCTGTCCACCCATCGCGACCCGACGGCTCTTCTCGGCAGCGGCGACGGTGACCGTGCTGGGTCCGCGGCCGCCGCCTCCGGGAAACTGGTCAGCGCCTGCAGAGCCCCCAGGCGCTGTTCCGGGGGCAGCTGCTACGTGCCACGGGTCTCCTTAGGCCTGTCGCGTGCCTCTCTTTCCAGCTGCCATTCCCTCGGTGTGGCATACGCGGTTTCGCCGCAGCCCTGCAGGCGTCAGGTTCGCCTGCCACTGCCAGTTTGCGTTTCTGATTTCTGGGTCTGAGTTCTTCCCTTCCCAGGAGCTACCTCTGTACCAAGCACAGATTGTTATCGTCCCACCCAATCCGCTGTTTTATGAGGATTTCTTTATCTGTTTCCTTTACTGATTTAGTATGATGGCGTCCTTTTCTTGATCATTTTGTATCCCCAGGGGCTAGCACCCCGCCCTGCACGTGGTTAGTGAACCTTCCGCATTTAATGAGTTGAGGAATGAGATGTTAAGGTCTTGGGCTCTAAAAGCAGATAGTCCCTTGTTCTAAATCCGGACTGAACTCCTACTAGTTGAGTGATCCCAAAGTTTCTCAAACTCTGTGAGTCTGTTCCTTATTTGTAAAAATTAATGGTGTCCATCTCTTGGGACTGTGGAAAAGGACAGTAATAAATCCTATCAGTTGACTGCTTAGCACATAATACTTGCACAATAAATGTTAATTATTCCCATTATAAGTTTAAAAAAAAAGTTTAAGTGCCACCCACACATCTAACTTTATTTTTGAGACGGAGTCTCGCCCTGTCACCCAGGCTGTAGTGTAATGGCTCCATCTCGGCTCACTGCAACCTCCGCCTCCCGGGTTCAAGCCATTCCCCTGCCTCAGCTTCCCGTGTAGCTGGGATTACAGGCGTGTGCCACCACGCCTGGCTAATTTTTTGTATCTTTAGTAGAGACGCGGGTTTCACCATGTTGACCGGGCTGGTCTCGAATTCCTGACCTCGTGGTCCACCCGCCTCAGCCTCCCAAAGTGCTGGGATTACAGGCGTGAGCCACAACGCCTGGCCACATCTAACATTTGTAAGAAAGGAGAGTGCTATCAGGAAGGGGCTTGACAACAACAACAACAACAAAACAACAACAACAACAAAAAACAGAAAAAGACGGTGGCGTGCACCGTATATATGCAGGATGGGGAGGAAAAGGGCTCAGCCCCATTGGGGACTGTCTCCCAAGGACAATGAAAGTCTGCTTCTTCCTAGCAGAAGAACAGAATTACCGAAAGATACGTGTTACCTCTTCTGATGCAATAGCTTCTCTCTTATTAGCTTCCCAAAGACAAAGTTACAAAATTAAGTAGACAAAGTTTAAACAATAAAAATTCTCATGGTGTCCAGTTGTGCATAAATTCCAGAGCCTGGACAAACCACGTCAGTACCTGATTGAATGTCCCTTTGAGATCTTACAACCAAATCCATAATACCTGAGCAGCCCTCCTCATCCTCCTTGGGCTGGGCTGGTAGAGACCTTCAAAACAGGTGTTTGTTTTAGGCAGGGGGCTGGTAAAGCCATGTTGTTGTGGATTTAAGCAGGCTGTAAGGACATGGCATGTCTTGCCCATATTTTTGGTACAATTACACTAGAGAAAGGAACAATTACCAAGGAGCAATTTTACCAGGTTTCCTAGTCAGGATCAGTACTCATAATACAAAAATGGAATTTTCATATTAATTATTGAATATGTATATATTCATTCCTAATTTTCAATGGTTTAGTGATTGCCAAAAGGAAATAGATACATGTAATACAGAAAGCTCTGTCATCTCTCCAGAACTGTTTTTGCAATAAATAGTGAGAATTTAAATGAAATATTTCTAGGACATAACTGTATATAGAAGAAACTCTAGTATAAAGTTATGGGAAACTTATGTTTTAACTGTAAGATCAAATAGGGATAAAATTAGTTGTTATGCAAAGAACAATATTTAAGGTTTAGAAAATTATTTCTTGTATTTCTTCAAAAATTAAAAAGTATTTTATCTTTGACAGTGAAATTCGTAAGGACACCTTGAAGGCCATTCTGTTGGAGTTAGAATGTCATTTTACATGGAATTTACTTAAGGAAGACATTGATCTGTTTGAGGTAGAAGATACAATTGGGCAACAGCTTGAATTTCTTACCACAAAATCTAGACTTGCTCTTTATAACCTATTGGCCTATGTGAAACACCTAAAAGGCCAAAATAAAGACGCCCTTGAGTGCTTGGAACAAGCAGAAGAAATAATCCAGCAAGAACACTCAGACAAAGAAGAAGTACGAAGCCTGGTCACTTGGGGAAACTATGCCTGGGTGTATTATCACATGGACCAGCTTGAAGAAGCTCAGAAGTATACAGGTAAGATAGGGAATGTCTGTAAGAAATTGTCCAGTCCTTCTAACTACAAGTTGGAGTGTCCTGAGACTGACTGTGAGAAAGGCTGGGCACTCTTGAAATTTGGAGGAAAGTATTATCAAAAGGCTAAAGCGGCTTTTGAGAAGGCTCTGGAAGTGGAGCCTGACAATCCAGAATTTAACATCGGCTATGCTATCACAGTGTATCGGCTGGATGATTCTGATAGAGAAGGGTCTGTAAAGAGCTTTTCTCTGGGGCCTTTGAGAAAGGCTGTTACCCTGAACCCAGATAACAGCTATATTAAGGTTTTTCTGGCACTGAAGCTTCAAGATGTACATGCAGAAGCTGAAGGGGAAAAGTATATTGAAGAAATCCTGGACCAAATATCATCCCAGCCTTACGTCCTTCGTTATGCAGCCAAGTTCTATAGGAGAAAAAATTCCTGGAACAAAGCTCTCGAACTTTTAAAAAAGGCCTTGGAGGTGACACCAACTTCTTCTTTCCTGCATCACCAGATGGGACTTTGCTACAGGGCACAAATGATCCAAATCAAGAAGGCCACACACAACAGACCTAAAGGAAAGGATAAACTAAAGGTTGATGAGCTGATTTCATCTGCTATATTTCATTTCAAAGCAGCCATGGAACGAGACTCTATGTTTGCATTTGCCTACACAGACCTGGCCAACATGTACGCTGAAGGAGGCCAGTATAGCAATGCTGAGGACATTTTCCGGAAAGCTCTTCGTCTGGAGAACATAACCGATGATCACAAACATCAGATCCATTACCACTATGGCCGCTTTCAGGAATTTCACCGTAAATCAGAAAATACTGCCATCCATCATTATTTAGAAGCCTTAAAGGTCAAAGACAGATCACCCCTTCGCACCAAACTGACAAGTGCTCTGAAGAAATTGTCTACCAAGAGACTTTGTCACAATGCTTTAGATGTGCAGAGTTTAAGTGCCCTAGGGTTTGTTTACAAGCTGGAAGGAGAAAAGAGGCAAGCTGCTGAGTACTATGAGAAGGCACAAAAGATAGATCCAGAAAATGCAGAATTCCTGACTGCTCTCTGTGAGCTCCGACTTTCCATTTAAATACATACTCTAGGAAATTAGCTCTAAGTTTTTCCCTTCATTTTGGGTTCTCCTGTTTGTTTTTTTTTTATTATTTTAATCCCTTGTTTATTATAGAGCTAATATTTATTGAATAGTTATTGTGTACCAAGCATTGTGCTAAATACTTTATATGCATTATGATGAATCTTGTGCGGTTTTCTTTCTTTTTTTCTTTTTAATTAAAATACTATAATCCATTGAGAAATAGCAATATTCTAGCTATTGTAACTTCTAAAAATGGTATGGCCATTAGATCTGTGCTTTTTATCTCTGCTCTTTGAATTTCTCATATTATATAGTAAATATATTCCTACGTAAACCTTTGATACCTAGATCAGGAATACTCTTCCAGGAGTACAAAATTACATTATTGATAGTTAAGCTCTTAATTGTGTAGCTTGCAAAAGACAGCACTTTTTAGTTACAGATGTTTTGACTTTGATGAGGATATTTAGCTATCAATCTAATAGTCACCTAAAATATCTTTTTTGTTGGAAAAAAGTTTATAATAAAAAAGTTTGTCATCTCTAGTGACTTCAATAAAGAAAAAACTAGAAGAGGAGAAAAAGGATTTCCTCAAATTTTAAATATGTAACTTCAGGGATTCAATCCCCAAATGTTTATTAAGTAGCTAGAAATAATTATGTGGAAAAAAATGAATAATGGAAAATAGTGAGTCTCAAATTGTTCTCTTTTTTTTTTTAACTAAAACAAATCTGCAATGAATCTAGATGCAATTAATTTTATTCCTTCCAACTAAAATTACAATATTTTTAGGTTAAAATTATTGAGATATAAAGCAGCCATTGGGAAATTGGGAGAAATGATAAACAAATGGAAAAAGAAGATGTCCCTAACCTACACCCATAGATTACCAAGGTTTCAGTGTACTAGTTTTGAATCTGTTCTGAATGGAGTTTTTATACCCTCAATTTCTGGCCTTTGGCTATTTTAGCATTTCAAAGTGACTTCTATGAAGCTTTTTTTTTAATGTGAAATTTTCAGAATGTTGTTTTTTTCATGTAGATACTCCAGGAAGAGTTAAGCACTGCTTTCAGTTTTAATATCCACCTTGAGGGGTCGCTGCTTGAGGGCTCTTATCCCAGGGGACTTTTTAATTCGGATGTTACTTAATGTGGCTTCTCTAATGTAGTTTCTTTGATTACCGACTACACAATTATGTACCATCACAGTATTAGTGGAAAAGTACCATGTGATTTAATTCTCCATTCCTCCAATGTAACTCTTAAAATTATTATGTATGTGTGTGTGTTTTACTTTTTGTTTTTTATCATCTTTAAAATTTCTATTATGGTTTGATTATTATAAAAATAATGAATTCTCACTGTAAATTTCAAAAAAAAATTACAAAAGTATGTGAATTTAAAAATGAGAGCAGTCCTCTCACCCTACCACAGTTCCACACCCTCAAGGTAAACTTATAACTTATAATTTGATATGTAAACTTCCAGATCTTTTTTCTATGCGTAATCAGACATACATATATACTGCAGTGTATCTCACGTATTAATTTTTAAAAATCTTTTGTTTTACTTAATTCTGTTTTTATTATTATTATTATTTTGTTTGATCTATTAAGGAAGAACAAGGAAGGGAATGATCTTTACTCAAGAATTTCAGAAAGTCAGCACTGAAGTCCTGACCTATCAGTAGACACATTTGTCCCTTTCAGATATTTTAGGATATTCTAGCAAAGCAGGCCATTTCTCCCACCTGAAAGTACATAACTTCTATCACTTGCCACATAATTAAAAGAACTCACATTAAGCGGTTACTCAGACAGTTAATCATAGAAAAGATTATTTGCTTCATCAGTTCATAGAAAAGATTATTTGCTTCATCAGTTAACTTGTTTTTATAAATCAGGGCTGTGTTCATACACAGAAGGGGCCTGAGATTTCTGCACTTTAAACAAGCTCCTCCTAGGTGAGGATGCTGTGGCTGTTCTAATTACATTTTGAGTAGTAAGGTCTACAGCATTGTTCCTCAAACTTGGCTACGTATTGGAATCACCTAAAAAGTTAAAACAAAACATGGATGTCTGGGTCCCGCCCCATAGAGAATGACTTAATTGGCATGGGGTGCAGTCCAGGCATCATGATTTTTAGATTTCCCAGTTGGAACTTGTGCAGCAAAGTTTGGGAGCTACTGATGGACATGTGAAAAGTAAGTATAAATGGAATAAAATTAATTAGGCTAATAGGCTTAACCCAGGAAATCCTAAGTTCCTTGAATATCCAGTTTGCATTTGGACTCCTCATCATATACTTGGTATATAATACTCTAATAAAAGCTGCCTGAGTTGAATTGTATATTGTCCTGCACCTACCTCTGAAAACTGCCCTTATCAACTGACTCAAAGTCTCTGAAATGGGTCCAAATCCTACTTAGTTAGATGAACTCATCCTGTCAAGCCTGATAAGAATCCTATGATGCCAGGCCCAAGTTGTTTTGTTGCCTATTAGACAAACTCATAAATATGCCCAGAAAAGTGGCTGTGATTGCTCTTCAGGGTAATTTGACCCTTCCGGAAAAGAAGTGCTGCCTCTCCAAATCTTGAAGGTGCTCTTGGAAACTACTTCATTCAGCACTAAAGGTACGCTCCCTGACTCACAAAAGCTGAGAAAAGCCCTTTCAACAAATGATAAATCAGCTGGCAGAAAAACTGGTTTCCCAGTCATGGAGCTCTTAAAGATATTTGCTTCCTCTCTGGGTGCAGAAATAGTCTTACCTGTTGATCACATGCTATCAGCCAGTTTCAAAAGCAATATAAGCTGTTACTATTCCTTTCTAGATTGAGTCAACGATGCCGATTACTTCAGTTCAGGAACAACCTTGTAGACAACACAGAACTTTAAAATCAGGAGGACCTTGAGAAAATCCCTACTCCAACCAACTTTATTGATATGAAGATTGAGACCAGGACTGGTGATATGACTTAAGGTTTCACAACTAATTTGTGGACCATAATTTCTTTCTCCTGGCTGCTGGTTCAGTAGCACTCATGCCCATTTTACAGTTTCTACCGATAATCATTTGTTGGAGGCAACAAACTCCATTTGTTGGAGTCTGTCAAACTCAATTGACAGAGTTTATCTGGCCATGATGTGACTATGCTTATGTGACATCACCTACAACACAGGCAGGCCCAAGGATAGTCCCTTTATGGAATATGTTCATTACTGAGATTAAGGAACATGACAGACCTATAAAACAATGTGGCATGTTTTTATATAATTGGTGAATTACAAGAAATGAAAATCCATTTGGCCTTGACAATTAGAACAGTCTCCTTTGAGTAGTTCAAGTGTAATAACATTGTAACCCTAATGTGGTAGCAATGAGAAGCACCTCTCAGATCTCTAGCTACAAGGATTATAATTGTCTGAAGGTCCCATCTCTACACATTGAAATCTATCACTACATTTACACTGAGGCCATGCTTCCCAGTGTGGCAAGGTTACTAAGTCATGTCCTCTCCTGAGAGATGCAGTACTCCTCTGATGAGCAATTTAAACTCAAGGACTCCCCACCAGCCTTGCCAAATATTCCTTAAAACAATACTGTAATCTAAGATGTTTTTACCCAACTTTTATTCCTTCTGTCTCTCCTACATATGGGGTCAGACCTGCATCACAGTTGGATGGCTCTCCCAGCCTCTGTCTGCTCTCTTCCCGTTTTTTCTCAGAGGTGTTTCCATTACATTTCTTGCATGTTCAACATCCCATCTTGGATCAAACTGACACATCTAGTGAAAGAAATTTAATTAGAGGACTCTAATTGGCAGTAGGTGAATAATGTTTACATAATATAAATGTCATTTATTGTTCTTCAACTTTCTGGATGAGTAATTATGATTAAAGAACAAAACATGGCTGGATGTGGTGACGCATGCCTGTAATCCCAGCACTTTGTGAGGCTAAGGCGGACAGGTTGCTTGAGGCAGGAGTTCAAGACCAGTCTGGCCGACATGGCAAAACCCCATCTCTACTAAAATTACAAAACTTAGGTAGGCATGGTGGCACCTACCTGTAATCCCAGCTACTTGGGAGGCTGAGGCACATGAATCACTTGAACCCAAGAGGCAGAGGTTGCAGTGAGCCAAGATCACATCATTGCACTCCTCCAACCTGGGCGACAAGAGTGAGACTCTGTCTAATAAATAAAGAAATAAATCTTTCCAATGTTATAATATTTGATTTGGAAAAGAGAATGGGGAAGAGAGGTAAGGGAAATTGTCTTAGTTTCTGGTGTGCCGCTATAATAGAATACCTAAGACTGAGTAATTTTAACAAGCAGAAATTTATTTCTCACAGTTCTGGAGACTGGAAGTTCAAGATCAAGGAGCTGGCAGGTTTGGTGTCTGGTGAGGGCCTGGTCTCTGCTTCCAAGATGTCACCTTGAATGCTGCACCCTCTGGAAGGGAGGAACTCTGTTCCTCACATGGCAGAAGAGCAGAAGAGAGCAAGAACTCACTCCTGCAAGCCCTTTTCATAAGACCATTAGTCTAGTCATGTGGGCAGAGCCCTCAGGAACATCTCTCCTTAGGCCTCACCTCTCAATACTGTTGCATTGGAGATTAAGCTTCCAATCTATGAATTTGGAGGAGACAAAAACATTCAAACCATAGCAGAAGAATAGAGACTCAAAAGATACAGTTAAGGTTTTATGGAGTAAGAATTAAATATGTTAGTATAACTTATAAAACAAATTAAGTAAAAATTGAGTTGTGGGATGAGAAGAGTTCTTTAAATTCAGTTAATTAAATCCTAACAACATAGCAGAAAACCAATAGATAAAGTCTATATTAAACAGATCAAAAAATAACATTATAAAACGTACCATCACAGATTGGGATAGCCCCTTCTCACAAAACTAACTTTCTTCCTCTTTCTATCCCTTCAGAACAACATAGCAAGTGTATATTTAAAACAAGTTTATCACTTAGCTTTCTGCTCATACATCCCCTCTCTTTCTGCTTGTACATCCCCTTTTCTCCCAGGACTCCAGCCTCCGCATTCCTCTCTACTTCTCTTCTGAGCCAAAGTTCCCTGCCTCACTGGGATGTGGTTTCTTCTTCTTTAGCTTTCTCTTTTCCTAAGATCAAGCCACACACACTGGATCCCACCCCAAACACAACTACCCCCTTCTTCGGAAACTTCATATTTACTAAGTTGAATTTGTTCATTCAACATTTTGTATTTCACTTTGAGGAATAAAACAGCATCTAATTACTAGAAATGTACTAGAAATGCCATGTATATATTCCCAAAACTGTCTGAACTGAGGGGTTCCTCTGTAAGTGATGAACTGGATTTCTCAATACCTCCTTTCATGATGGCACCTAGCTGAGTAACTAAAGAAATAATGAAGGTGACATGAATAAGCTTTGGGAAAGCCATGCCTCAATGGGAGCACACAGGTGCCTCACAGACAACAAACTCTGAAGGGCAAGCATAGACTGAGGCCACTTGGATTGAACACTTAACATAGAACACTAGCGTTCTTGACTCCGGTGATGCAATGATAGTTATAGCTAACTCTTACATAGTACACAATATCTGCCGGGTGCTGTTCTAAGTGCAGGGCATGTAGTAATCTTGTAAAATCCTTACAAACCCCCCTAAAATAGGCATTTTTATTCTTTCCTTTCGCACATGAGTAATTAGGATTTAGACACATTAAGCAAGCCCAAGGTCGCATACCTAATAAGAGGTGGGAAAAGGATTCAAACTCTGGGTGTCTGGTTCTAGAATCTAGCACTTAACTACTATATAATACTTTCTAAATAGTCTTAAAATTTGGAATGAAGGATATGGGAAGATAGGACCAAATCTTTACAGACCAGAGGAGAGAGATTCTAGAGGATCACACCAAGCCCACATTCTACAATCATAGGTCACCAGACACTATTGTACACAGAACCCCGAAATTCCCTGGAAGGAACTAGGAAAGGGAACTATTTATGTACATTAGCTGCCTCTTGATGCTGGGATTAAAAGCTGTTCTGAAACCTCAGGGAGAATGACCTAAGAAACTGACGGACTCCATCTAAGTGAGGGTTTGTTTCCAGAATTGGATTTTGGAATTCAAAGATTTGGAATAAATTCCTCAAAAAAAGGAAGCCACATATTTTGGAAGACTGAAGAACCAGTAAACAATTAGAAGCCAGAACACGTACCCAGTCCTTTGTCCTTGGAAGGAAGGATATATCCCTTGTGCACACACCAACCAGCATCAGACCCTCACCCAGTGTGGAGAGCAAAATAAGAAGGCAAGGAGATAGTTTGATATGGCCATTCCACAATGTATACATATTTTAAAACATCATGTTGTACATGATAAATATACATGATTTTTATTTGTCAATTTAAAAAGGAAAGGGAAGGGGCGGGGAGGGGATGGGGAGGGGTGGAGGGCGCTGGAACACGTGTAACAACTAGGGCTGGGGTCACCTGCGCTTTAACATCCCCTGAGTTTGCCTTGAGCCTCCAGGCCATGGACTTTGGAATGTGGCTGCGAGTCCCTAATTCTATTAAATATTAATTTTGTTCAAGAGTAACTTCATCTCTCTTCACATGCTTTTCCTTTCCATACCACATCAACTCCAGCAAATCTCACCAAAGCAAACAAACAACAACAAATATAAAAACCAAAACACCAAAACTAAAATCACTTACAGGTCATTTCTATATAAAAACCCTTTATTGAGAAGATCTTAGGAGACAGAAGAATCTACAACTTTAAAGTTAATATTAGGTAATCTCTGTTTTTCAGAAAGAAAAAGGGAGAGAAGTGAGAGGGAGGGATATTGGGAGAGGGGAGACAGGAAACAAAAAAGAGGAATGGAGGGAGCAAAGAAAGAAGAAAAGAAGGAAAGATCCCCAACCATTTATTGATATGCCTGCCTCTTTCTGTGATTCTGAGCTTTGCCTGTTTCCCTGTGTCTCTTCTCCCTTCAAAACCGTTCCTCCATTTTTCTTAAACAGAGCAATTCAGTTCTAACTCTTATCCTCATACTCAGTCACAAACCCAACTATGAGTTGCTTAGTTCTTAGTTCTACATAAGAACTTTCATTTTAACATGATCCACTCTCCTTTGAAAGCAATTTCAGTTATAAATAAATAGAATCCCCACGATTTCACATGCACTACACATTTAAAGTAAATTTAATCACTTTGTCATATTTGCTGTACAGTATAATCCGATATTTTATGTTTTCAAATTGACATGGAATCCATTCTTCTGTATCATTTGGTTTCAACATTTTCTAACATTTGGCTTCTGGTATAACTTTGAGATTCTGTGTCTCACACTTTAACTCCTTTATCAACTCACATCAAATAAATTAACACATTAGTAGGGGTCACAGTGGGAACAAGAATGGAAGGCTGACAATCTGGGTTCCAGAGAAAGGCAGAGGACTTCAAATTTTTTTTACGTTATGTTTTACCAATGGCTATCCCTAGTCAAGCCAGTCAAAATCATCATTCATATTAACTTTGATACTCTATGTTACAGAACTGATATAGGTAACCAAAAGCTGAAAACTGCAACACAGCATCTTTATCCCCGTGTTTATACTTGCAAGAGGAACAGGATAAATGTGGGATGGGTAACGAGCAAGGGGGAGTTGGAAGAGGAGGAAACAATGACAAACTTTAATGTTTGTGCCTTTAAGGTAGGCCTTGGGGAGTTGAACAATTGGAGATTCCCCTACTCCTGGGAAGTGTTCTTGCTAATTCCAGCAGATGGCAGTGCTGCATAATATGTCAATTTTAAAACTCTTTTCTGTGCTTAAGGATCCAAACTTTGGATCCTTAAGAAGAGAATGACACTCTTTACAGTTGAGAGATGAATATTGAATTATAACCCCATGCCCTGAAAATCCCTGCTTTGTACTTAAAGAAGGCAACTGCAATCCCCAAAAGTCCCAGACACCTTTATGGACCCGTCATCGGAACATTTATGTCCACGTGTGCTTGGTTCTGCACTGGCCTGAGATGCCTGCTGGAACCTCAAGGAGCCACACAAAGCAGCTGCCTCACATCTCTTTCCCTCACTCCCAGCCTCTTGCCCTGAAAAAAGTAAGGGCTGATTCCAATCTGTTCAATCCTGTCTTCAAATTCCCCAGAATCAAATTTCTTCAACCCATAATGAATTCTTCCTCTCCTAACCCTCAAAGTACTACACATGCCCTTAGCCTCAGGTCAACATTTAATAACTTCTTGGTGTTGTTCTAACCTGAGTTGGTTTCAATTTACCAATTAGGTAGTAAATTTGAGATCATGGAGGGGGTCCTATGTGTATTTTTAATTCTCCACCATATGTAACATGGTTCCAGATTCCAAAGAGGTGCTTGATAAATAGTTGGTTGATTAACTCCTTTCACCATCTCTTAAAAATGTCTGCCAGCATACTGTCTAATTTTCAATAATGCTTTATGAGTTAGGGGCAGCCATAGGTCTGGTCAGGACAAAGATTTCAGTCAGAAACATCTTCTGCACCTAGCAAAACCCTGGCATAAATATTTTGTGTAAAAGCAGTTTGTGTGGTGCCTGTAATTGAAACCCTGTCTTTTCAGGTTTGGGGCAGGTGCAATCCACATTTTCCCAACGTTCCAGGGCTCCCTTGTGTGAACAGTTCCTCTTCCCTTGGGTTTCCGTTCATTTGTGCACAACAGCTATTTAATTAAGCCTGTCTGGGTTGAACACAGTAGTATCATTTTTTACATTCAGGCCTCAATCCAAAGTTTGTTATTTAATATCTTTTGATCAACTCTTTACTTTGCCACTTTTATTCCCTTTCCAAAACCTGCTCCATAATGGTCAATGCTCCAGAGCTTCTACTGTTTTTGTGACACTTCTAACAAGGTGTCCTATTTTGACACACCAAATTAGGAACATCTAATGTATCCTGTCTGTTCTGGGTACAAGAGCAATTTGCACCCAAACAAACCTGCACCCCAACCCTTCAATCCGCCCCACCCTCGCTAATGTTACAATTCTCCTTAGCAGTTTTTTCATTTATTTGTTCTTTACACTCATTTATTCATTGACCAAGTATTCATTGAATGCCTACTCTGGGTCAGGCACTGCTCTAAATAGTGAATGAGTCAGTATGATCCGTATCCTCAGAAAGCCTGTGGTTTTGTGGAGCAGATGAAATTTAAAAATAAAAACACACATCAATATATATGATCATAACTAAAAGATGTTCTTTGAAGGAAAATAATAGAATGCTATGAGCATGAAGAATGTGGGTGGTAGTGGCGGGGGAGGGATGTATAATTTAGATAAGGGCAGTGGTTAAAGATGGACTCTCTAGGGCAGTGACATTTAAACTGAGACCCAAAATATGAGAAGAGAGTGATCACAGGGATCAACATATGCAAAATGCCCCAGGGTCAGGGGTATAAAGGGGAGGCTTGGTACTTGAAGGAACTGATAGAAAAACTGGGCGCTAGATTGTAGTAGAAGATGGGGGATGTAGCCTAACGTCAGGAACTACACCCTGTGAGACTTCGTAGGTCCAGTGTGGGCACTGAATGCTCACACCAGCCCTGTCAGTTCTGCGATTCTGAAAAAGGCTTTGCTCTTCCCTGTTTGAGCTTTAGAAAGCTGTTTGAGCTGTTTGCTCTTCCCTGTTTGAGCTTAGGGTCAGAAATCTGGATTCATCCACCTGCACGTGGGCCGGAACCTCAGGTAACCACACAGAAGCTGCCCCCCAACCTTTCTCCCACTCCCGAACTCTTCCCTACCTTGACCTATACCCACACCTTGCTCTGCCCACAGTTGCAAAAATAAGCTATCCAAGAATGAACATAGGTCTTCATCTTTCGTAGGACAAGGTCCTTGAACTCTTCCATCATTACACTGGTCAGTGGGAAAAGGCCTAACTTGTCATCACAAAAGAAACATATTTATGGAAAAATGTGAAAAGGGCTGCATTTGAAATGCTAATTCTAAAGCCTTTTAGTGCCAACTCAACTCAAAAATAAACTGCTTTTTACTTAATTCTAGACCAATCTTAGGTCCCAGATCCCTCAAAAAGACCTCTGACCCTTAAACAATTAAGAGCAATAATGAGAGTAATAATGATCACTCTCATCTAAACCTCAAAATCCCTTTTCATTGGTTTGACTCTCTTGGGTCAGGAGAGAAAAAAAAAAAAAGCCTCTTTTAACTTATTTAATACAGCCCTGGGCCTCAGGTAGATAGATCCTTAGGGGCTGGGGAGAAAAGGAGAAAATTTTAATCTTCAATTGAGACACTCAAAGCCCATATCAAGAAAGGAGCCCCAATCAGCTTTGTAAGTAATGATGTGGCTCATTAATAGGTGATACTAACCACACATGTCCCCGTTAGCAGGAACAAATTATTCTTGCCAAGTTCAGGCATTCCCTGGCAGCTGAAGGAAACATGAGCTGCCCACATGTTAATATACTTCAAATTGCTTCTCAAGGGAGAGGATAATGGGTAGATAATTGTAGATGTGGGGGGATAGGTACCTCAAGTTCTTTACACTATTCATTCTACTTTTGTATATGTTTGAAAAGTACCATCATGTTTTGTCTTAAATGTCAGTCCTTTTATCATTATTTATATCTTCCCACTCCCCAACCAAATAGTTTTCCGTGCTATGGGACAAAACCTCAGTTATCTGTCATTGGTAGCTACGCTGGCAACAGATATAAAAATCTATTGCTTGACGGAGTTAAAAAAAAAAACAAAAAAAAAACTTTTTTTTTTTTTTACTCAAACTTTCAAGTGTGAGAAAAGAAACTCAGATATCCACCCTGAATTTGTACTATTTCATTTCAGTAAACAATTTCAGAATTAGACCTACTGGGACCAGGAAGGGGAGTGTCAAATAGACATTACCATTTTCATTATCACTGGCAGTGGTGAAGGCAATTCAAAAAGAACTCAACTCCTAACTGAGAAAGCCTGACTTTGGTAATGTGGAAAGCAGACAGTGGAACTAGCTCACTTTTGGGACAAAATATGCTCCCCAATTCACCCCCTCAACCCTAAATGCTCCCCAAAAGAAGCCTGGATCAATCAACAGCAAATTAAACCACTGAGCCTGAAAGTAGTGGTTTTGATAGATCCTCTTGGGAAAACTCTTGGAAATCTCCAATCTAGAATCTTCCTTCAATATTGATTAGAAGACTGAAGCATAATCCAAAGGATTTTATCTGTCCAAGGGAGCGTCGGTTTCCCAACAGCTTCTTGAACCCACATAAGATAATCCAAGTAGGCACAGGGGAAGGACACAGGGCTTCAGCATCAGCAGCATCCCAGTTTTACAGGATTTCACACTAGAGGATACTGAGCTGTGGGAACTGGTGCCTCAGTTTCCACATCTACAAAATGATAATAATAGAGGTCACTATGGGGATTAAATTCGACAATGACAATGCATAGGAAGTGCCTGGCATAATAGCTCACACATTGGAAGAACTCAATAAAGACTTCTGGTTTTTGTAAATCATTTGATTATTTAACACATCTTAAAATGCTGACCACATCTTAGCATGATCCAGACAGGCCCACTCACCATCCAGTCCAAACCTCTTGTCCGAGGGAAAAATGTCTTTCCAAACACAGGACAATAAATTCATTTTATTTTGCTTTTGAAATAAGAAAATATTAGCATAAATATTTCATCTATTAATGAAATTACAATCTGAACAAAAAGCCCAATCATACAGTGTATCTACAAAGTTAGATAATGTCTTCTGATTTTCTACTCAGATAATTCCAAAGTAGAGCTTACAGTAGTAGAAAGAAATATTTAAGATGTAAAATTATCCCACTATAATTTTGTTCTTGATTCCACAAAATACATCATTCCCATGAATTTCTCAGTTTTGAAATAAACAGTATAGACACATGGAACATTAACACTAAAATTCTGTGTAGAAATGTAAAATAGTAGACCTTAAGATGTACATTTTTCTTACTGATTTTCTAAAAATGCTGCCTCAAAAGGGAAAGTAAAATGCAAATCTATGCATGTATAAAGTCAAATCTCCCAAATGTTTTTATACAAAATCTTTAAAATTTCTGATCACTATGCTTATTTTTCATAAATACTTGTAATACTTCACAGAAATTATATTGCAGAACCACATAAACAAAATTTTGTTGTGATCATGATAAAAAATATGTATAAGAATATTTGTAACTATTCATATTTTTAAACATCTTTAGGCTTGAAAATTCAAGAAATGATATTTAGGGCAAAGTGCTATTCCAAACAGATATAACTTCATCTTAACTTTGACATTTTACAGATACCTTCCAATTTTTTTTTTTTGAGATGGAGTCTTGCTCTGTCGCCCAGGGTGGAGTGCAGTGGCATGATTTTGGCTCACTGCAACCTCCACCTCCTGGGTTCAAGCGATTGTCCGGCCTCAGCCTCATGAGTAGCTGGGACTACAGGCGCCCGCCACCACGCCTGGCTAATTTTTTGCATTTTTAGTAGAGACGGAGTTTCACGATGTTAGCCAGGATGGTCTTGATCTCCTGACCTCATGATCCACCCGCCTCAGCCTCCCAAAGTGCTGGGATTACAGGCGTGAGCGACCATGCCCAGTCCCAAATATTTTTAAAATTGCAAATGACAAAGTCAATGGGGTTCAAAACTAAATTCTTAAACTAAGTAAGGAGATAACAGACAACATTTAAATTTGTCTTTGGAAAACAACTATGAAATATTACCATTTTCTCCTATCAGATCAAGTCAGTATTTCATTCTGAAAGCAATGTATTAACATGTGATTTTATGAAATAATCAAGGTATAGGCAAGCTCTCTTGCGGAGCATACACATTAACTCAGGATCATCCTCATTGCTGTTTTTTTTCCCCCAGCACTTGTGAGGCCTTGTAGGGGACAGTGGATTAAATAGCCTTCAGGGTCAAAACAGTTCCTTGACATTTGGATTTTAAACTCCTGGTAATTAAAATTGATTGCATAATTTACTCCTATTACAGGTGTGACACACTGTGAGATTCAGGATTATAATTCTTTGGACTTAAAATGGTTGGAAACAAGCTGGGGGATCTGGACTTTTTCTTCCCTCCATGCCTTCCCTCTTCAATCTGAAGACTCAGAAATTATCCCAAACCATAGAAAAGTGGAGTATTTGAGAATGAATAAACTTATAATCCAATGAGTAGATTTCTAATTATTATCTATAAAGAGATGAAGAGCAGTGGATAGTGGAACAAGAATTAACACAGGGAGAAAGGAATCTCACCTTTAGAATATCTCTAGGATAATATTTTTCAGACAACTGACTCCCTCCAATCCTCTTTTGGGTAATGATAAAACTAAATGTCTGATCTGCAAAGAAAACTCTCACCAGAGACCTGCTGATTCAAGAATTCAGTTCCTGCCCAATTGGAATACTGCCAACATTTTTCCAACCTAACAGGAATGCGTCTGCAGTCTAAGTAAGAGCTTCTTCTCTGAAGGTAAAAGACGGGAAGTTTTGGTGTTGTTGACATTTCAGGTAAGATTGAGAGGTTGTCCTTGTGACTAAGTGTGTTCTGCTAAATTTAGAGTAAGTATTATATGTGATGGTAACAAATGTGAGAGCCTGGAACCCAGTCTTAGGAAAAGAGCTTTCGGTTTCCAGTGGACAATTTCAAATGGATCTTACCAGATGCCCTTTAAGATCTATTCCAACCATGGCATTCCATGATTATTTGGATTCTCATAGTGGTGTCTACCCTTGGGCAGAGGCAAGGGCTGGCTGGAAGACTAAGAGAAAAAAAAAATAAGAGTTTCTTTCTATATTAATCACCACTTTTTGAAGAATCTCAAGTATTCTTTAACAATCCCAAGTAAAACCCTAATGAGAAACTCCACCATGAAAAAGTATGGCATCTTCACTCTTCACCACCACACCCAAGCTGACCTCCCTTCTCTAACCAGAACAAGGTAAGCAAAGCTACACGTTAATGTTTCCATTTTCTTTCTGAGGAGGGAACATGAAGGGCCTGAGACTGGAACAAAGCTGCTGCCCAGTGTCATCTGCTTTGGTTATGCTTTGAAATTATCCCTAATTACAGCTAATTATATCAGCTGTGTCCTTACATTTCTTACAGAGCTATGCCCATTGACCAAAAGATACGAGTTCAGTTATGAGCACAAATCCCAAATGAGAAGGCTCTGGGCTAGTCCAGCTTTCCTTATTATGTGCTGTTTTCCCTTATAAATATTAATATGTTAACAAAACAATAATAATAATTTCCTTGGAAGGCAATCCTTCTGCCAAAATAAAAAGTTTCAGAAACATGAAGAATCTGGTGGCCCCACCTCTCTCAAACCTGAAGATTCTGGGGCTCAAGGCCTTTGGTCATGTGAGGCTGTAGCCAGGCACTGCTGTAGCCACAGGCTCCCCATGTTTCTGATCTAATTCTCTTGCCACAGAATAAGCCACTGATCCATTGGTCCATAGCTGCAGCTTAGGATCAGATTCTTTGGCAATGAACTGCAACTGGGTTTTTCTCATTCTCTTTATAAGTCTAGCAAAGCCAAGCAACACAGAACTAAATATCATTGAAAATCCACAGAGGAGGAATGCTGCAGTGTAGCTGCCGGTGGTATCTACCAGCCGTCCTGTAACAAACAACAGCAAAATTTTATTTTTGAGTTGAAAATTCAATTGCTTACCCACTCTCAAATTCTAATGATTTGTAAGGATAATAATAGATCGATAGCACCACCAATTGTAACTTTGAAACAAAAAGAGGTCACCTAAAAATATTGTGCAGCAACTGAAAAATACATTCTGTTTTCCAGGAAAACTTCTAGAGTGAATTGATTGTTGTTCTGTAAAGTGCTTGGAAAAGCATCATGTACTTAGTAGTCACAACGTAAATATTAGTTACTATTAACCCCATGAAATCTGGTAAAAAGATAAAAATAGCATCATTTAAATTATTAAGGTTGGAATAATTTACCTAGGGTGTTAAGAGAACATATTTGTACAAAATGCCAGTAGTATTCACAGCACCCATACACTGTTTTGAGTAACATGACATGCTTCAAAGCAGTATCACATTTTCAACTGGATTCAGTCATTGTACTCTATCCAGTTTGAAAATCAGAACTTTCAGCTATTTTAGCAGTTGCAAATGCAAACTAGCTTTTTTTTCTTTATCTCTTGTTGCAACAAATTAATCTCAATATCTATCTCAGCTCTAAATTTTGAGGAAAACCGGGCATATGATATGCAAAATAGGGTCCACAATGACAGAAAACCAGTGGAATAACATTATACTTCGTCAGGCAATTATTTTATAATTAACAAAGGTTTTTTTAAATTCCTTCAAACTTTCCTTATCTGCCAAGAAAACCCACCAGAGAAGTATATGATTTCTTCTCTTACCCACTTCAGATCCATTCGTCAAAAATAGCATGTAGAAGTTGTTATAAGCCCCACAAAATTTCCTGAATTTAAACTGCTCTCAAATATTTTAGTTATTGTTTGATTTACTTGTGCAATTCTATAGCACCAAACAAAAAAGACTGAGTACACAGTTGTCATTTGAAAGGTAAATAAATAAGAAAATGATACAATAAGAATTAATCCTCGAATTTCCAGTAATGAGTATCATGTCTGATTTGCCAATGAAGGCCACGAACTGAATCCCAATTTCATTTGTGTCCTGTGACCTTTGATAGAATGACACTGTTTCTAAAGGTTGGTGAGCACTAAAATAAGCTATGAAAGGAGGATGTGGGAATATTTTGGGGGCAGTTTTCAAAAATGGAGCATTAAACATAAAGATCTGTATCATGGAGTTCAAACTGAACAGGGTTTTGTCATCTGCACCACTCAAGCGGCCACAATTTCCCCTAGTTTGCTGTTTTTATTCCACCCCAATTGCTGGATTTGGAAATAGCCTGAAACTGTCTATTCACAATAATAGCTAATAGCAGAAACTCTGCCTTCCTCAAAAAAATTCCTGCCTTCTTTCTAGGCAAAGTTTTGGGTTATTTCTCTTTTGCCTGTCTTCAGAGAACTTGTTCACTCTCTCAGTTTTAATTTAGGCAGATAATAATATGGAACAGTCATTCTCAATATTTACCTCGCATGAGCATCACAACAAAGCTGGTTGAAAATGCAGATTTCTGGAACTCATCCTCAACATTCAGATCACAGGTGGGAGTGTCAAGGAATCTGCATTTTTAACAAGGTCCCTAGGAGACTCTGATGCAGGTGGTGTAGACCACATGCTTTAGGAAGGAGAAACAGCTTCTGACCTGTTTACTCCTGTCTCTCCAGCATGATAAACACAATGCTAGTTACACATGCAATATGTATTTGTTGAATTACTTGTTTAATGCATACAATAAATATTTGTCAAATTGTTTAATCATGCTTCACTCTATAGCATTTTAGAGTTTATAAAACATTCTATGTGCTTTATATGATGATTCCCAAATCTATATATAAACCAGGCCATCCACTAAAGCTCATATTTCATCTTTAAACAGCTCTATTGAGCATTTTTACCTGTATATTTCAGAAATCTCAACATATCTAAAAACCATATTCATTATTTTTCAGGCAAAGCCACTTTCTCGAATTTCCTTATTTTCTCAACCATGACATTATTTTCTAAGTCATCCTTGACTTCTTTCTCTCATTCACCTCTGTATGCTAAATTCTGCTGAATTTTGTTTTGAAAACTTCTTCCTTGCCCCCAGAGCTCATCTTTATTTCTGCTGCAGCAGCCCTAGCTCAGGCGTTTATCAGCTGCCTCCTAAACTATTAGAATGGAATCTTAGCTACCTCTCTCCTAAGTTACTAGATCAATTGCTAGATCACATTTTCTAACATATATACTTTACCATATTATCCTTTTACATAAAAACTTTAATACTATCCACAGTCTCTGAAGAATAGAGCCCAGTTCCTCTGTCTGGCACCCAAAACACTCCACTATGACACTGGCGTTTATAATTTCAGCCTCATCACCCACTGCCCCCTGTTGGAATCCTGTTCTCCCCTGAGACTTCCCTCTGAATGCACCCTACTTATTTATAAGGCTGAACAACTGCTCCATCCCCCTGCTCCCATCATTAATATGGAAAGGAATCAAGACCCTAATTTGGGACTTACTCTTTCCAGGTAGGCTAAGGTTCTTACTTGGTTGGAAGAAGATTATAAAACAAGGATGTAGGTGGGACCATGATGGTTTTGGGGGCTCTTATATCCCTTTTCTCTTTCACTCTTCCCCAACTCTCTTGACAGTCCTTCTCATTGACTGCATGTGGGTTTGCTGTTTTCACATCAATATGCCAAAGAGAAAAGGTGGTTGGGGTTTCTCTCTGGAAACTTACCTGCGATGGGTGGGCTCACCAAGTATGGCACTGCGTGAAGGAAGTATACCACACCAAGCGCTGATGACAAAGAGGTGGTCCCCACTATCTCTGTGGTCACTACTGGGATCAAAGTCACATAGGCACCATCAAAGTAGCCAAAGGTACAAGAGAAAGGCACGAGCAGAGGGAGACTTTGAAGCATTGGGAGGCAGAGATAGCAGAGCCCATCCATTCCCACGGCAAAGAGGTAGCAAACATACTGGTAATTCTTCAGACACCTGTAGATTTGAAGAACAAGAATAAGTGCAGGAGGTACACATTCTGTAAAAGAGCTTTAGAGCCACGGCTATGCAGCAGTAAGCATTGCAGTTATTTACAGAGATGGCTTTCCCATTGTGTGTTATGTATGCTGTCTTCCTATCTTTCTTTTTTGCAAATGCAAGAATTCATCTCTCCAGGAAGCATGGTGTGGTAGAAAGAATATATACTTCAAAATTAGAAAGGTAGAATATTAAAACTAGTCCTGCCACCCACTGCCTGCCTAACTCAATTTCTTTAGCTATAAAATGGAAAGGTTACTTATCTCACAGGGTTACTCTGAAATTAGTCGTGAAATAAAATAGAAATAAAATGTAAAATGGGGTCTCCAATCTTTTGGCTTCCCTGGGCCACATTGGAAGAAGAAGAATTGTCTTGGGCCACACATAAAATAAACTAACACTAATGATAGCTGATGAAAAAAAGAAAGAAAGGAAAGGAAAGGAGGAAGGAAGGAAGGAAGGAAGGAAGGAAATAAGGAGAAAGAAAGAAAAGAAAGAAATAAAGAAAAAGAAAGAAAGAAAGAAAGAAAGAAAGAAAGAAAGAAAGAAAGAAAAAGAAAGAGTGCATAAATCTCAAAATGTTGTAAGAAAGTTTACAAATTTGTGTTGGACCACATTCAAAGCCATCCCAGGCCACAGGCAGCCCATGTGCCACAGGTTGGACAAGCTTGATGTAAAGGATCAGAAGGGTAATTTTCCTAGCAGTCTACCTTATTAGATACTTTTAGGTATGTTATCCATTGGTATCTGGCATGTCATAGATCATAAATACTCAATAACCCAAGTGGTTACACAAAGGGGAAACTGTAATACAAAGACATTAAAATGATTTGCCAGAGATGATGGAGGTCTTGGACTAGGATGAAGTCTAATATATTTCAAGATCTCCCAAGTGGTATTCCCATTAATTTTCCTGATAACTCCAAACCCATTTATGATACCAATAATTTCAAAGAATCTGTATAATGTCAGCTCCAACAGCTTATGCTTTACAAACATTTTTCTACTCACAGCCTCATTTGAACATCACAAAATAGTATAAGGTCAACAGGCAAATATTGCACTGGCTCATTTTACAGATAGAGATCATTGTGGATCTGAGGGTTAGGTGACTTTCTGTAGGTCACAGGGTTAATAAGGAGCAAAGCCAGTGCAAGAACTTAGGTCTAGTATGCCTCAGAGTAGAGATGCCTCCATTAGACCTACACCTGGCTGCTTCTTGCTGAGTTATTTGATTGTGAAAATAGGTAATCTTTGCTCTTCCACTTCTTCTTTAACCATTAAAAATGTGGAATCAATACTAAATATCATATTCATAACACTGGAGAATGGCAGTTGGATCCTGATTAATTACCAAAAACATAATTTGTGAGAAGCTACATGATGGTATTAGCCCTGCAGGTCATATCTCAAGTGTGAATGGTTCATCATTTAGGAGAATATGAGTAGCCTGCACTCTTCAGTCCAAACAGATGAGCATTTGCTGAAGAAATTACTTGGTAGATTTCTTATAACTTTGGTTTCTAAGCCTGCAATTACAAGGAAATTACTTGCAATTTGCATTGTCAAACATGAATATGTGGCTACAGACAATGTGTTATCATTGCACCTGGCCCTCCTGCCTAAACTGAATTCTGCTCCTTTTTCCATTGCCAGTCAGGACTGGTTCAAAAGAAACTAACACCACCACACCCAGCCAAAAGTTGTCTTGCTTGAGGACTGACTTGTCTTGGGATGGAATTAAATCTACCGCCAGAACTTGTAGTTACCCTAGGCTTCTGCAATTTAGACACATCTGGCCCATGACATCTTTTTGTACTACCTGTGAATTAAGAACGGTTTTTCCGTTTAAAAATGGTTGGAAAAAATCAAAAGAACAATATTTTGTGACACATGAAAATTATAAGAGAAATTCACATTTCAGTGTGCATAAAGTCTTATTGGAACGTAGCCACTCTCTTTTGTTTACATATTGTCTGTGGCTGTTTTGTACTATAATAGCAGAGTTGGGTAGTTATGATGAACACTTGGCCTACAAAGCCAAAAATGTTTACTATCTGTTCCTTTACAGAAAATTTTGCCAACCTCTGATCTAGAAGTACCAGCAAGGGAGATGCCTTCAGATACTGCAGACTTGTTAACATTATTCAGACCTAGGTACTCCACAGGGTAAGGGGCTGAGGAGAAACTCAAGGCTTAAAGTCCCCTGGTGGGGAACCAATTGTGGTTTCATGAATTTTACCTTCTGTCGGTCAGCCATCCAAATGTGATATTGCCAATAATGTCAATCACTCCAAGTATGGACATAAGAAAAGCAGCTTGCTGATGACTCACTCCAACACTCAAAGCATAAGGCACCAAGTACACAAAGAGAGGGCTGCAGCCATAAGCCATAAACAGAACGGAGACGGCTAACACAACAAAGTCTGACATGAGTAAAAAACTGTACTCTTGCTGCAAACAGCAACAGAGGCAAGTCTGTGCCCATTCTTTGGTCAAAGATGAATAGGGAGACACCCGCTTAATGTCTTCTTTCTGAGTTCTACACACATGGTTCTGCTCTGGAGTTGTGTGGTCCTCTTTAAGAGTAATTGGCCTCATCAAGGCACCACATACACAGAGATTCAAGACAAAGCCCCCAAGAATGAGTAAGGCTCCCCGCCAGGAAAACTGTTCAATAAGGAGCTGAACCACAGGAGCCAGGATGAAGGTGCCAATGCCACTTCCTGACATGGCGATACCATAAGCAAGGGCTTTCCGTCTGCTGAAGTACTTGCCAACCATGGCAATAGCTGGAGAGTAACAAAGTGCAAATCCAAGACCTGAGGATAAAGAGAACTCTATGAGTGCTGAAGTACCATAAACAGCCAATGATATCTCAGAATACAATGATTTATATTAAAGAGAATCTGACCTCTCATTAAACCCTTTTAAAGCTGCTTTTTACACCAAGCTTAAAATGAGTCTCCCCTCACCAGTCATTCACAATTTGGAAAATGTAGAATATATATGACTTTCTTTTTAGGGAGAACACCCTTAAGGAAATATGACTTCATAAACAAAATTAAATGAAGAACATAAAAATAATTACACAAACTAAATTGGAATTCACTAGAAAATCTGGATAATGCCAACCAAAGAAACTTATCACTTCCTCCATTTTTTAACTTAAATTATCCAGACAATTCCCTAAACGCTTCACTGCCTATGAAGACACAACACTGACAATCTGCACCACTCTGGAATTTGGATTCAAATAGCATGTACAACTATGAAAATTCCAGGGTAATTTTACATAGTTGGGAAACATCATGCCAATTTTATATGTGAACATAGCAATGTATATTTTCATATATGTGAAAATATCTCTTAAGGTCAGCAGACAAATGTTGACACTTTAGAAAGTTTTTAGAGACCTTCAACTTTTGGGCTGGGTGCAGTGGCTCATGCCTGTAATCCCAGCACTTTGGGATGCTGAGGCAGGCAGATCACTCGAGCTCAGGAGTTTGAGACCAGCCTGGGCAATATGGCAAAACCCCATCTCTGCAAAAAAAAATACAAAAATTAACCAGGTGTGGTGGCATGCACCTGTAGTCTTAGCTACTCAGGAGGCTGAAGGGGGAGGATGGCTTGAGCCCAGGAGACAGAGGTTGCAGCTGAGATTGCGCCACTGCACTCCAGCCTGAGGACCGAGCCAGATAGACCCTGTCTCAAAAAAAAAAAAAAAAAAAAAAAAAAAGATCAATTTCTATTACTTTTTAAGTGAAGAAAATCTGAGGGGCTGTGAGCCTGGATTTTATGGCAACTAGAATGTCAGAGAAGGAAAAAGAGAACCACCTTCAGAAGCTCCTGCTTCCAACTGCAGTGCACAGTAGCCAGCAACCCAGAGTTGCCTGGACTGAGGGGTTTCTGGATGTGGGACTTCCAGTGTTAAAACCAGGACAGTGCCTGGTAAACTGGGATCCATTGGTCACCATAGCAGCAGTCAGGGTCTTTGGGTTACTAGGGGTGGGTGTACCTTCTTTAGCTAACATAGCCAAATTTATAGCCTCACTATGAGGTTACGTCCTTTATTGACCTTATTCACGCCACACCAATGGCACAATGCCCAGACAGGAGTTGGCGCTACTCTCCACACCCCTTTGAGTGATAGGCAAACTCCCATTGCAGTCCCACAATCCTATGCAGTCTCTGTAAGAGTGATTTATTGAATGTACATGTTGCTTTTTTCCATGGCATTTATTATGATTTGCTAAAGTGATACTTCCACAGCATTGAGAAAGAATGTGTAATATAAGAATATTCACAATAAAGGGTTTTTTAAAATTAGAAACTCCCATTTATTGGACAGCAATATTCATTATAAAGCAGGAGCAACTCAGATTGACCGTCAATAGTATTTTAATGTCTTGGCAATGGCTGGAAGAATGACCATTGCTGAAAATTCATGTTGCCCTGGGTAATATCTTGTTTCTTCTGAGTACAGAATCTCAGTCATACACTAATTCCAAGGAGAAAGCTGCAGTTGCTTTTACCATCTGGCTGAATTACAGTGGAGATGCATTTTCATTAGGGTAATGTAATCTCATTTCCAGCTCTGTTTAACTGCTAGGTAGGTAGACATAAGCTAGGTCAACTAAATTATGCATCTAACAAAATGAATATTTTATGAATTACTTCTCTGTTGATGTGCTTGGAAACCCCTGAATGGAGTGGGGTGAGACAGGTGGTACAAAGTGCCCTTACCTGTAAGAACTCCCAGAGTGAGGTAGAGATGCTTCAGACTCGTGGCAAATGAGCTCAGGATGAGTCCAGTAGATGCAAGCAAGCCACCCAGCATGATTCCCACTTGACAGGATAAATGGTTACTGACAACACTCCCAAGTGGAGCTTCAAAAACAATAAGAAATAGGTTCAACAGAAAGGCCTTGAGGGCACTGTGAAAGGCTGTGATGTGGCATTGACAGAGGAGAGAACCTTTAAAGCATTGAGCCCACCCTATTAATTCTGCAGCTTTGGAAACTGAGGCCCAGAGAAAGGAAGTGATTGTCCATGGTCCCACAGATAATAAGCAGCAGGGTTGGAATAGAACTCAAGTCTCCTGACCTGCATTTCAGGGCTCAATCCTCTTCATTCTATTATAGTCATAATGGCAGGACGGTAGGGTGTTTTTTAAACAGTGGATCAACTTTCTCTAAATTACATGTCATTTGCACAGGGATGCTTACTATAGTGTTGATCATATATCATTAGCAATAATGGTGACAGTTAATTGCTGGAGAAAGAAAGTGGATAACACCATGTGACCAGCAGGGTTATGCAGTAAAAGACCAGGGAGAGAGATCATAGACAAATTCCACAATCTGGCCCAGTTTTCAGGCTTCAGCACACCCTGTGGTTGAGATATCAAAGCCCAGAAAATCTAAGAAAAATGCTTCATGCCCATGGTGACATTCTGGTTGGTCTCACTTGGTTTGTGGCTTACCAGTGTATCAGAATTATGTTGGCCTCAAGGCTCATAGAATATTAAGTAAAACCAGAGACCAAAATGGAACTGAAGTTCAGGGGTATATGGCATGGCCCAAGGTCACCAACAAGAGCACCTAACACCGAGTGTGAGGTTATTTCACGCCCTTACTCTTTGGGTCTCTCAGACTAATGGCAGGAGTGATGGGTGAGGAAGGCATGTGAATTTCCTTCTAAGGAAAAATTCATGCTGACATCAGTAACTCTTAGTAGCAAGATCAGAAGACCTGATTTTCCAGGTGTCTGAAGAGTATGATCATTTTTGTATTGATCAGACTGAAATTGGGGGTCAACTGTTACCTTCTCTGTTCATCACAGAGCAGATCTGTTCCCAGTGGGTGTCCCACATGTGATTCTGCAGACTCTCATCCATACTCTGAACTTTAATGTTCTAATATTATGTTACAAGGTGAGCAGGTAGGTATATGGTAATTGTGTACAACAGGCCTCTTGGTCTTGCATAGAATTTAAATATGTTGCTTCTGACATAACCCTACTCAAAGCTTGACTGTGTGAACCATATTGACTGTGTGACCATATTGGTCACCTAAGGTCATTTCCTCCTATTTGGGGGATTATGAATATCCTCCAAAAGATAGAAATGAGGGAAATTAGTCACTTTTATCCTCTGAGAAGACAAACATGGCTTCTTTGGTGTGCTGATGCAAATGCTGTGACTAATAATGTGACCCTGAAAATCAAGTGGTTTCAAAAAAAAGACAAGCTCTATAACTCGAATATATGATTTTTTGATCCCTTAAGACCTTCTTCTTAGTTGAAAGAGTTGAGTTGATTTAGCCTTCTCATGAAACCTGCTTTTAGTCTTAGAACTGCTCTCAACTTCCTCCCAACCAAACAAATATTATACATTTCAGTACAATTTAACTGATTCATGAGTAAATGAATTTTTTTTCCAAAAAGAAATATGAGTCAGTGCCTAGAATGGAATAAAATGGTTATTATGAGTTACTGAATACAGGTATTATTTCCCTTTTGCCACTAAGACATGGCTTGAAGAGATGAAAATTTCCGAAAATACTCAGAACTCATTGAAATGAATGGATTAAGTGGGTCTAAGCTACAAACAATTTGATTTAATCTTAGAAACTCTCTAAGACATCAATTTAATAACGTGAGTTTGAAATTTATTTTAAACAAATGCCAGGTTTGTTGTCCTCTACTACACAGATGGAATGTTAATTCCATACATTTCTAGAACACCCTACATACCTTATATAACACTTTCGGAGTTCCTTGAATGAAATTACACCCATAATGAATATGTTTATCTCATGACGACATAATCCTATCCTTCCCCAATACTTCTCTAAGCATGAAGATTTATATATGAAAAAGATGAAATCCATGAGCCAAATGTCAAGCCCTGGGGGAGGAACAGAATGCAATCCAAGACTTGAGATGTGATACAACACTGTTGGCACTTATGACTATGTAAAAATGGCTCATGGTACTATCAATAACTATTTACACAACTTGAGAATGAGAAGGCCATAGCATTTGGAAGAGAGAAGCCAAGCATATACTATAAATTGCTTCCAAAATCAGGACGTGTTCTAGAATGCTCAGCGTCCTATCTCTATATGGAAGAACCAAATCTTACGTGTTCTTTTGAGTGTATTATCTAACTGTTCTACCTGACATCAGCCAAGACCATTAATTACAAGAGCAAGTCTGGTTGGCTTTGGCTGAAGATAGGATTGATCTTTTCTTTATATTATATAGTCCTAGCCAGTTTTTAATGTAGCCCTTCTACTTAGGAAAACTAGTAATCAAAGTCAGTGGAATGTCATTGTCATATACAGTTCAAGAGTGGCCAGTAATTCCCTATCCTAGTAAGTAATACTCACCACAGAGCATGGTCACACAATCTACAATGGAATGGATCCATGCCGTTTGTGCGTAATCCTGAGTGAAGTATGTCTGGAACTCCACAAAAAAAATTGAGATACATCTGAAAAATACAATGCAGGCATTTTATACAAAAAATGAATGAGCATGCATTTGAGCCAGAACTTAAAATGTTTGGTTCAATTAGCTGCTCCTGTTTCCAAGGGTTTTAATTGCTAGACCATAATAAGTGGGAAATCAGAAGCTGACCATTTGGGCCATGCTGGATAACAAGAAGAACAAGTGTTCAACCACCACAGGGGCTACTAAAGCCAAGTAGATGTGAAAACTACTGCTCTAAGGAAGGTTTTATGGAAACAAAAGCAGGTCAGGAACATGGATTCTTATTTATTTTTGTATTTTGCTAACTTCTTCTGAGAGGTTATTATACAAATTAAGATTTGACAATAAAGAATTATATATCACCAGCAATGTCACCTCTAGGATTTATATAAAGGAAATAATCAGGTGATATTGATGATAGATAGATAAAAGGATATATTCTGGAGAACTAATTTAGTCTATAAAATTATATATATGTGTATATAAAAGGATATATTCTGAGGGATATAATAATAATAGATATATAAGAGGATATATTCTGGAGAATAGCCAAATATCATAACCAATGTAACTGTTCATCAATAAAGGAGTGGCTAAATAAATTATGGCATATCAATAAAATAAAATAGTAAGTCTTAAAAATGATGATGTTGATCTGTATATATTGATTTGGAAATAAATTTGCAATATAATGTTAAGTAAAAAATAAGTTAGTTACCAAACAGTTCATATAGTAGGAACTTATTTTTGTAAAAACAGTTTATGTAAATAGAAAATTTCCTGGATGGCCGAATAGGAACAGCTCTGGTCTGCAGCTCCCAGCGTGATTGATGCAGAAGACAGGTGATTTCTGCATTTCCAACTGAGGTACCTGGTTCATCTCACTGGGACTCGTTGGACAGTGGGTGTAGCCCATGGAGGGGGAGCCGAAGCAGGGTGGGGCATTGCCTCACCCAGGAAGCACAAGGGGATTTCCCTTTCCTAGCTAAGGGAAGCTATGACATACTGTACTGGGAAAATTGGGGCACTGCCACCTAAATACTATGCTTTTCCAATGGTCTTAGCAAATGGCACACCAGGAGATTTTATCCTGTGCCTAGCTCAGCAAGCCCTACGCCCATGGAGCCTTGCTCACTGCTAGCGCAGCAGTCCGAGATCAAACTGTGAGGCGGCAGCCCGGCTGCGGGAGGGGCATCTGCCATTGCTGAGGCTTGAGTAGGTAAACAAAGTGGCCAGGAAGCTCAAACTGGGTGGAGCCCACTGCAGCTCAACCAGACTTCACCTCTGGGGGAGGGCATAGCTGAACAAAAGGGAGCAGAAACTTCTGCAGACTTAAATGTCCCGGTCTGACAGCTCTGAAGAGAGCAGTGGTTCTTCCATCACAGTGTTTGAGCTCTGAGAATGGACAGACTGCCTCCTCAAGTGGGTCCCTGACCCCCGTGTAGCCTAACTGGGAGACACCTCCCCGTAGGGGCCAACTGACACCTCATACAGCCAGGTGCCCCTCTCAGACAAAGCTTCCAGAGGAAGGATCAGGCAGCAATATTTGCTGTTCTGCAATATTTGCTGTTCTGCAGCCTCTGCCGGTGATACCAGGCAAACAGGGTCTGGAGTGGACCTCCAGCAAACTCCAACAGACCTGCAGCTGAGGGACCTGACTGTTAGAAGGAAAACTAACAAACAGAAACGAATAACATCAACGTCAACAAAAAGGACATCCACACCGAAACCCCATCTGTAGGTCACTAACATCAAAGACCAAAGGTAGATAAAACCACAAAGATGGGGAGAAACCAGAGCAGAAAAGCTGAAAATTCTAAAAACTGGAGCACTTCTTCTCCTCCAAAGGATCACAGCTCCTCACCGGCGACAGAACAAAGCTGGACGGATAATGACTTTGACAAGTTGACAGAAGTAGGCTTCAGAAGGTCAGTACTAACAAACTTCTCCGAGCTAAAGGAGGATGTTCGAACCCATCACAAGGAAGCTAAAAACCTTGAAAAACGATTAGAGGAATGGCTAATTAGAATAAACAGCATAGAGAAGACCTTAAATGACCTGATGGAGCTGAAAACCATGGTATGAGAACTACGTGACGCATACACAAGCTTCAGTAGCCGATTTGATCAAGTGGAAGAAAGGGTATCAGTGATTGAAGATCAAATTAATGAAATGAAATGAGAAGAGAAGTTTAGAGAAAAAAGAATAAAAAGAAATGAACAAAGCCTCCAAGAAATATGGGACTATGTGAAAAGACCAAATCTACATTTGATTGGCGTCCCTCAAAGTGACAGGGAGAATGGAACCAAGCTGGAAAACACTCTTCAGGATATTATCCAGGAGAACTTCCCCAATCTAGTGAGGCAGGCCAACATTCAAATTCAGGAAATACAGAGAACAACACAAAGATACTCCTTGAGAAGAGCAACCCCAAGACACATAATTATCAGATTCACCAATGTTGAAATGAAGGAAAAAATGTTAAGGGCAGTCAGAGAGAAAGGTCGGGTTACCCACAAAGGGAAGCCCATCAGACTAACAGCAGATCTCTTTGCAGAAACCCTGCAAGCCAGAAGAGAGTGGGGGCCAATATTCAACATTCTTAAAGAAAAAGAATTTTCAACCCAGAATTTCATATCTGGCCAAACTAAGCTTCATAAGTGAAGGAGAAATAAAATCTTTCACACACAAGCAAATGCTGAGAGATTTTGTCACCACCAAGCCTACCTTACAAGAGCTCCTGAAGGAAGCACTAAACGTGGAAAGGAACAATCGGTACCAGCCACTGCAAAAACATGCCAAATTGTAAAGACCATCGATGCTAGGAAGAAACTGCATCAACTAATGGGCAAAATAACCAGCTAACATTGTAATGACAGGATCAAATTCACATACAACATATTAACCTTAAATGTAAATGGGCTAAATACCCCAATTAAAAGACACAGACTAGCCAATTGGATAAAGAGTCAAGAGCCATCAGTATGCTGTATTCAGGAAACCCATCTCATGTGCAGAGACACACATAGGCTCAAAATAAAGGGATGGAGGAAGATCTACCAAGCAAATGGAAAGCAAAAAAAAAGCAGGGGTTGCAATCCTAGTCTCTGATAAAACAGACTTTAAACCAACAAAGATCAAAAGAGACAAAGAAGGCCATTACATAATGGTAAAGGGATCGATTCAACAAGAAGAGCTAACTATCCTAAATATATACGCACCCAATACAGGAGCACCCAAATTCATAAAGCAAGGACTTAGAGACCTACAAAGAGACTTAGACTCCCACACAATAATAATGGGAGACTAACGCCCCACTGTCAATATGAGACAGATCAACGAGACAGAAGGTTAACAAGGATATCCAGGACTTGAATTCAGCTCTGCACCAAGCAGACCTAACAGACATCTACAGAACTCTCCACCCCAAATCAACAGAATATACATTCTTCTCAGTACCACATCACACTTATTCCAAAATTCACCACATAGTTGGAAGTAAACCACTCCTTAGCAAATGTAAAAGAACAGAAATCACAATAAACTCTCTCTCAGACTACAGTGCAATCAAATTAGAACTCAGGATTAAGAAACTCACTCAAAACCACTCAACTACATGGAAACTGAACAACCTGCTCCTGTATGACTACTGGGTAAATAACGAAATGTAGGCAGAAATAAAGATGTTCTTTGAAACCAGTGAGAACAAAGACACAATGTACCAGAATGTCTGGGACACATTTAAAGAAGTGTGTAGAGGGAAATTTATACCACTAAATGCCCACAAGAGAAAGCAGGAGAGATTTAAAATCGACACCCTAACATCACAATTAAAAGAACTAGAGAAGCAAGAGCAAACAAATTTAAAAGCTAGCAGAAGGCAAGAAATAACTAAAATCAGAGCAGAACTGAAGGAGACAGAGACAAGAAAACCCCTTCCAAAAAATCAATGAATTCAGGAGCTGGTTTTTTGAAAAGATCAACAAATAGATAGATCACTAGCAAGACTAATGAAGAAGAAAAGAGAGAAGAATCAAATCAAATAGATGCGATAAAAAATGACAAAGGGGAAATCACCACCAATCCCACAGAAATACAAACTACCATCAGAGAATACTATAAACACCTCTATGCAAATAAACTAGAAAATCTAGAAGAAATGGATAAATTCCTGGACACATACTCCCCAGACTAAACCAGGACGAAGCTGAATCCCTGAATAGACCAATAACAGGCTCTGAAATTGAGGCAATAATTAATAGCCTACCAACCAAAAAAAGTCCAGGACCAGAAGGATTCACAGCCGAATTCTATCAGAGGTGCGAAGAGGAGCTGGTACCATTCCTTCTGAAACTATTCCAATCAGGAGAATAACAGGGAATCCCCCCTAACTCATTTTATGAGGTGAGCATCATTCTGATATCAAAGTCTGGCAAAAACACACACACACACAAAAAGGGATCTTTAGACCAATATCCCTGATGAACATTGATGCAAAAATCCTCAATAAAATACTGGCAAACCAAATCCATCAAAAAACTTATCCACCAAGATCAAGTTGGCTTCATCCCTGGGATGCAAGGCTGGTTCTACATACGCAAATCAATAAATATAATCCACCATATAAACAGGACCCAAGACAAAAACCACATGATTATCTCAATAGATGTAGAAAAGGCCTTTGACAAAATTCAACATCCCTTCATGCTAAAAACTCTCAATAAACTAGGTATTGATGGAATGTATCTCAAAATAATAAGAGCTATTTATGATAAACCCACAGCCAATATCATTCTGAATGGGCAAAGACTGGAAGCATTCCCTTTGAAAACTGGCACAAGACAGGGACGCCCTCTCTCACCACTCCTATTTAACATAGTGTTGGACGTTCTGGCCAGGGCAATCAGGCAGGAGAAAGAAATAAACGTTATTCAATTAGGAAAAGAGGAAGTCAAATTGTCCCTGTTTGCAGATGACATGATTGTATATTTAGAAAACCCCATCGTCTCAGCCCAAAAGCTCCTTAAGCTGATAAGCAACTTCAGCAAAGTCTCAGGATACAAAATCAATGTGCAAAAATCACAAGCATTCCTATACACTAATAACAGACAAACAGAGAGCCAAATTATGAGTGAACTCCGATTCACAATTGCTACAGAGAGAATAAAATACCTAGGAATCCAACTTATAAGGGATGTGAAGGACCTCTTCAGGGAAAACTACAAACCACTGCTCAACGAAATAAAAGAGGACACAAACAAATGGAATAACATTCCATGCTCGTGGATAGAAAGAATCAATAACTTGAAAATGGCCATACTGCCTGAAGTAATTTATAGATTCAATGCTATTTCCATCAAGCTACCAATGACTTTCTTCACAGAATTGGAAAAAACTACTTTAAAGTTCATATGGAACCAAAAAACTGCCTGCATTGCCAAGACAATCCTAACTCAAAAGAACAAAGCTGGAGGCATCATGCTACCTGACTTCAAGCTGTACTACAAGGCTACAGTAACCAAAGCAGCATGGTACTGGTACCAAAACAGAGATATTGACAAATGGAACAGAACAGAGGCCTCAGAAATGACACCACACATCTAAGACCATCTGATCTTTAACAAACCTGACAAAAATAACAAATGGAGAAAGGATTCTCTATTTAATAAATGGTACTGGGAAAACTGGCTAGCCATATGTAGAAAGCTGAAACTGGATCCCTTCCTTATACCTTATACAAAAATTAATTCAAGATAGATTCAAGACTTAAATGTTAGACCTAAAACCATAAAAACCCTAGAAGAAAACCTAGGCAATACCATTCAGGACATAGGCATGGGCAAGGACTTCATGACTAAAACACCAAAAGCAATGGCAACAAAAGCCAAAATTGACAAATGGAATCTAATTAAACTAAAGAGCTTCTGCACAGCAAAAGAAACTACCATCAGAGTGAACAGGCAACCTGCAGAATGTGAGAAAATTTTTGCAATCCAGTCATCTGACAAACGGCTAATATCCAGAATCTACAAAGAACTTCAACAAATTTACAAGAAAAAAATCAAACAACCCCATCAAAAAGGTGGCAAAGGATATGAAGAGACACTTTTCAAAAGAAAACATTTATGCAGCCAACAGACACATGAAAAAATGCTCATCATCACTGGCCATCAGAGAAATGCAAATCAAAACCACAATGAGATACCATCTCACACCAGTTAGAATGGCCATCATTAAAAAGTCAGGAAACAACAGGTGCTGGAGAGGATGTGGAGAAATAGGAACTCTTTTACACTGTTGGTGGGAGTGTGAACTAGTTCAAGTATTGTGGAAGACAGTGTGGTGATTCCTCAAGGATCTAGAATTAGAAATACCATTTGACCCAGTGATCCTGTTACTGGGTATATACCCAAAGGATTATAAATGATGCTACTATAAAGACACATGTGCACGTATGTTTAATGTGGCACTATTCACAATAGGAAAGACTTGGAACCAAGCCAAATGTCCATCAATGATAGACTGGATTAAGAAAATGTGGCACATATACACCATGGAATACTATGCAGCCATAAAAAAGGATGAGTTCATGTCGTTTGTAGGGACATGGATGAAGCTGGAAACCATTCTGAGCAAACTATCGCAAGGACAGAAAACCAAACACTGCATGTTCTCACTCATAAGTGGAACTTGAACAATGAGAACACTTGGACACAGGGCAGGGAACGGCACACACTGGGGCCTGTCGTGGGGTCAGGGGATGGGGGAGGGACAGCATTAGGAGAAATACCTAATGTAAATGATGAGTTAATGGGTGTAGCAAACCAACATGGCACATGTATACATATGTAACAAACCTGCATGTTGTGCACATGTACCCTAGAACTTAAAGTATAATAAAAAAAAGAAAATTTCCTGAAAGCTTATACACTAAAATGTACCTAATCATTATATGTAAATGGTGAGATTAGAAATAATTATTTTAATCTTTATAGAGCATTTTCAATTACTTTACAATAAACATGATTTCTTATGTAACCAGAAATGTGTATATATGTGTGTGTATGTGTGTATGTGCAGAGAAAGAGAAAGAAATATTTATATTGAAAAATAGTTAATTACTTAGAGAAAGACATGTGAACCAGAAGCAATAGTTTGCATCACTGTGCAACTTGGAAAAGCCTTATATGGATTAGCATGGCGTCCTCATTCAGGCAGGAAGCTTTTATAGCCCGGTGATAACAGTAGGGAAGAAATCAGGCCTGTGGCTTGGGGATGAGATAAGAGGTTATTAATCTCTTTGGAGCTAAGTTCCAATTAATTGTGCTTTAACAATCCATAGTAACCTGTTATGTTCACTCTCCCTCTCCTCCCCAGTTGCTGCTGGGTGTGAAAGTAGGTGGTGAAGAGCTTGGAGAAGAAGGGAGAGAACCAGGTATAAACAAGACTGCCATGTTAGGCAGGGCCGGCTTCATGGGAGTGCAGCCTACACAGTCACATAGAGCCTGGCACTTAGAAGCATGAAACTTGATTTAATGCTTGGCTGTCACTGACTGAACTTTTTTTTTTTGAAACAGAGTTTTACTCCTGTTGCCCAGGCTGGAGTGCAATGATGCAATCTCGGGTCACTGCAACCTCCGCCTCCCAGGTTCAAGCAATTATCCTGTCTCAGCCTCCCGAGTAGCTGGGATTACAGGCGCCCGCCACCATGCCCGGCTAATTTTTGTATTTTTAGTAGAGACAGGGTTTCATCATATTAGTCAGGCTGGTCTCGAACTCCTGACCTCAGGTGATCTGCCCACCTCGGCCTCCCAAAGTGCTGGGATTACAAGCTTAATAATTTTATGTTTGAATTTCTGTTTCATAAGTGCAGTGCAATGGAACAATGGAGACTTCATGTGAGTGGCGGAGATACGTGCAATATGTGTTTCTGCAGTTCTGTGATGCACCATTCACACATAGTGTTAGAGATGTCCCATAAGCACAGTGTTCTGCTAGGCCCACGATTTGAGAGAGTTCAGTTAGGACTCAAAGCCAGTATGAGGTAAGTGTGTTACATCTACAGCTTAGCAGGCCTGGGGATAGGGAATGAAGTGTCTACCAGCCCCAAGAGGCTATGCTTTCCTTTTGAACCAAAACCTGCTTCAAATGCAGAAAGAAGGCAGTGGTGTTATAAGAATCACAAAGGACCAAGGATTTCTATCATATCCTTTTTCATTCATATCACTTCCTTGTATTAACAAACCACTAATGTTGAGGGTGATGGCATAGAAGGAAATGGAAAGATCAGCCAACCCATATTTCCATTCCCTTTCAGTCCTTCCTGACTCATCAATAAGCTGAAGGTAGGAGAATGTCGATAGGATGTGCAAGTTTCAGGAAGTCAAATAAAAACAGTTGAGTTAGTTTTGTGCAGGGTTTCTACTGTTCTGATGGAAAATGAAATATGTATGTATGTATGAGCTATAAAATAAGAGTTGCTTGACTTCAGTGATTCCATATATGAGTTCAAGACTCATATTTGCATTTAAAGCTGACATTGCATAACATAAAAATGTGTGGTCAATTCATTCTAATTATTTCACACTCTCATTTTCTTTACTTAGAATAACATTAAATAGCAAATTTAAACATCATGAAAAATTTAAAGAGACCACTGAAGAAAGGAAGAAGCTTTCTATTTTAGTACATTTAACAGCATTTTCCCCTGCTTTTTGAGCAAGGGGCCCTGTATTTTCATTTTGCACTGGGCCCTATAATTTTGTTGTTGATCCTTGTGGTAGGAAAGAAAAAATGGAACAGTGTGGTGAGCTAAATTCTAAGTCCCAGCAGAAGGTGGGATGAAGTTTGGCATGCAGGGCATACAGTAAGGATCAACACTTGTAGAAGGAAAGGGAAGGATGCAGGATTAGGCAGAGAGGTCGAACTGCAATGCAGGCCTAACAAATTCTCAGTCAATCCCAAATGAAATGGTTCAGCCCTGATGCACGTCCTCAATCAGCCATTGGCGGTGGGTGCCCCCTCTACGCCCAGGGGTCTGCTCTTGGGAGACGCAGCTTTCTGCAGGTGAGGGGGACCTAAGAACTGACAGCTGCAGGCTCTGCTGACTGTACACCCTGCAGCTAAGGCCAAATGAGTGGCACATCTCTGTGTTCACCGCAGTCCCATTCTTGTATGCCACACGAATGCTCTATGTAATTCTCTGTCAAAGGGGTATAAAAAGTGGTCCTTCTCTATCCAGTGATTTAAGAAACCAGACATGCTGCAGCAGATCTGACGCTAGATTAATAATTATATCAGAACTTGGAGTACTAAACAGTCACACCCAACGACAGAGAGAATGGTAACATAAACTGCCTGGCATTGATTAACTGCAACAGTCAAACTAGCTTTAATTCAGTGCAAACAACAACAAAAACCTTATGATGTTTCTTAACATTTTAAAAATTGCTAGTCTAATACTAAAAAGTTTATTATTTTCTCCTAACCACTAGGACTTCAATTTAAGTGAATAATGATTTATTGGATTTACCCTCATTATAAAATTCAGACATGTACCACATAATGACATTTTGATCAACAATAGACTACATAGACAATGGTGACTTCATAAGATTATAATATCATATTTTTACTGTACCTTTTCTATGTTTATATACACAAGCACTTACCATTGTGTTACAATTGTCTACAGTATTCAGTATACAGTAACATGCTGTACCGGTTTGTAGCTTAGGAGCAATAGGTTATACGACATAGCCTAGGTGTGCAGTACGCGCTACTTTCTAGGCTTGTGTGAGTACACTCTATGATGTTCACATGACAATGAAATTGCTTAATGATATATTTCTCAGAACACGTCCCCGTCATTAAGCAACACATGACTGTAGTCTAGTTATCCTTACCCGAAGGCTTCTCAGTGGAAGCACTATTGACATTTTGGGCCAGGTAATTATTTGTTGTGGGGGGCTTTCTTGCACACTGTAGGATGGTTAGCAGCATCCCTGGCTTCTACCCAAAATGTCTCCAAACATTGCTAAATGCACCCTGGAGACCAAAATCAGTCTGCCCGAGAACCACTGACCTACTCAATTGCCAAGTTCTACTTATTCTCTCTCTCTCTCTCTTTAACCTTTTTACTTTTATTGCCTCCCTCCCTCGCTCCCTCCCTTCCTTCATTTGTCTCAGCTCTGTTGCCCAGGCTGGAGTGCAGTGTGTGTGCAGTGGTGTGATCACTGCAGCCTTGACCTCCCGGGCTCAAGCGATTCGCCTACCCCCTACCTCAGCCTCTCCAATAGCTGGAACCACAGGAGTGCACCATCATGTCCAGCTAGAGACAAGGTCTTCCTATGTTACCCAGGCTGGTCTCCAACTCCTGGGCACAAGTAATCCTCTCGTCTCAGCCTCCCAAAGTGCTGGGATTATAGGCATAAGTCACTATCTCATATATATCCCTCAAATTCCTCAACATATTAATATCTCTAACCCCCTTACCATTCATCATTCACACCAGCACCTTTCTCTGGTACTGCAGCCAAAACCCTCCTAATCTTCCTGAATTCACACCAGGCTACCTTCAGTACATTCTACACCCAATGTTCTAGAACACCAATCAGATCCTAATGCTTCATACTTTTTAACCTGACTTAGGAGACTGCATGAGCTAGCCCTTCTTAGTGTGCCTCCTTTCTGCGCATCTGTTGGGCTCTTCACTTCAGCAATACTGAACTTCTGCTTGCCTCTTTTAACACATCACCCATGATTTTTTTTTTAATATCTTTGAGCCTTCACTTTTTTTTTTCTTTTCTAGCATGCTCTCCCAACCTCCCACATTCTTTAGTCTCAAGATAACCTTCCTCCAGGAAGGTTTCCCTGACCACTCAAGTCTCTCTTGATTCCACTCTTACGTGTTTCAACTACATGCTGGACATTTATCACACTGTGTGGCAATTTCCTTTGCATTTGTTTATATTCTTCACTAGACTGTTACCCTGTGACAGAAAAGACCATGTCTGTCTTATCTCACACTGAATCCCAAATATCTAGTATAGTACCTGTCATATACTTGGTGTTCATAAAACACTTTTCAAGGGAAGCAAGCCAGGAAGGAAGGAAAGGAGGAAGGATTAAAGTTGGTAGAGGAAGTGACTAGAAGACAAGGAAGTGAAAATGATTGAGTAGCAACTTCAAGAACTATGAATGAGAAAGGGAAGAAGGAGGAAGACTGGATGGTAGCTATATAGGAACATGTGGTTAGGTGAGGTAAAGTAGGGATGTGAAGAAAATGAGTGTTACAAGCTGAGAAAACAAATCCACAAGAGGGAGATGCAGAAGCTGGAGATGTAAGAGGATCACATGATGTCTAAGAGAAAAGGGCCCCCAGATGATGATATTTTCAAATTATAAATAATAATCTCTTTTTTTCACTAAATTGTTTTGGGGAACTTAGTAGTGTAACCATGTCTGTCCCTTGTCACTTTTTTTAAAGGTTACTTTGATTTCTGCTTGCTGGTTTTCTTAGATGACTTAATCAGTCATATGAATCAAACTTTAGATATACAGAAATCAAAATTAATACCTGAAATTCTTGTCTAAACATGTAAGCAGGCTTAACAAAGGCAAACTTTCTAATAACCACATACAGGCTTCTGAATGATTGTGACTTTCATGAAATATGGGAAGAATATTTTATCACTTATCTGTTCTCAAAGGGGAAAAGCACCACAGAACTTTTTGAGTAGTAGTTTCATGATGTATGCCTCTGAACACAGGCATGATATTAAATAAATGAAATTTTATTGGGAGCATGTGTGCATCTCACTCCAGAAATTATTTTTATTATTTTGGTTGTTCTTTGGAATATTTTACAGTGAAGCAGGGTCCTGATCCCTGGTTCTCACCCTAGGTAACTGAGGTTTTTGATAAAGCTTCTTAATCCCTCAGGGCCTCAGTTTCTTTATCTCTAAAATTAGCATTTTGGTAAACATGACTGCATCAGTCAGAATGGGCTGGATTATGCTGCAGTAGCAAACAACTCCTAACAACTTTCAGTGTTCATAGGCTCTGTTCATAAGAATGTGGAAACAAAGTATCACCAAGTGTCATCTGTGACGAAATGACATTCTCAAAAATACCTTCTCTCAGAGGCCAGTATGACTGCTGTCTCAATCTTGCCACTCTGCTGTAAAATTTTTCTCTGTCTCCTATACAGTGAGTGCTGCCAACATCTGGCATACTAGAATTGATCTACTGGGCACTGCAGCCTAGTGGCTAAAAGTCCTGCCACTTACTAACCATGGGACCTTGGACATGTTCTTCAACTGCTGTGTGTTATGAGGATTAAATGATTTAATCCATAAAAAATGCTTGAAGAATGCCAACATGCACAATGTAAGTGCTCAGTTAAAGTTAGCAATTATTATAAGAATTCAACTATTGTTAAGAGAGTTCAAAAGAACTCTACAATCCCATAGGATTCTAGACATATATTGCACCTAAGTTAATTTGGACCCAGTAGACTTAGAGAAAAATAGGTCTCAGACCTGGAGGGGGACAGGGTTTTGGACATTTAAATCAAACATTGCTTTTTAAGTATCAACCCAACTCAAGTGGCCAATTTATGAACAGAATAGCCTGCAATTACACATGAAGTATGATTCTTTTTTTTTCATTTTTTAAAATTTTATTTTATTTTACTTTAAGTTCTAGGTTACTTGTGCAGGATGTGCTGGTTTGTTACATAGATAAACGTGTGCCATGGTGGTTTGCTGCACCTATCAACCCATCACCTAAGTATTAAGCCCAGCATGCATTAGCTATTTTTCCTGATGCTCTCCCTCTTCCCACTCCCCCACCCCGACAGGCCCCAGTGTGTGTTGCTCCCCTCCCTGTGTCCATGTGTTCTCATTGTTCAGCTTCCACTTATGATTGAGAACACAGAGTGTTTGGTTTTCTGTTCCTGTGTTAGCTTCCTGAGGTTAATGGCTTCCAGCTCCATTCATGTCCCTGCAAAGGACATGATCTTATTCCTTTTTATGGCTGCATAGTATATACATAGTGGTATATATGTACCACATTTTCTTTATCCAGTCTATCACTGATGGGCATTTGGGTTGATTCCATGTCTTTGCTATTGTGAATAGGGCAGCACTGAACATACGTGTGCATATATCTTTATATTATAATAGAATGATTTATATTCCTTTGGGTATATACCCCGTAATGGGATTGCTGGGTCAAATGGTATTTCTATGCAAAAATTGACAAATAGGATCTAATTAAACTAAAGAGCTTCTGCACAGCAAAAGAAACTATCATCAGAGTGAACAGACAACCTACAGAATGGGAAAAAATTTTTGCAACCTATCCATCTGACAAAGGTCTAATATCCAGAATCTACAAGGAACTTAAACAAACTTACAAGAAAAAAAACAAACAACCCCATTAAAAAGTGGGCAAAGGACATGAACAGATGCTTCTGAAAAGAAGACATTTATGCAACCAACAAACATATGAAAAAAGCTCAACATCACTGATCATTAGAAAAATGCAAATCAAAACCCCAATGAGATACAATCTCACACCAGTCAGAATGGTGATTATTAAAAAGTCAAGAAACAACAGATGCTAGCAGGGCTGCAGAGAGATAGCAACACTTTTACACTATTCACAGGAATATAGATTAGTTCAACCATTGTAGAAGACAGTGCGGTGATTCCTCAAAGACCTAGAACCAGAAATACCATGAAGTGTGATTCTTTTTTTTATAATCTTTATTGAATATTTTTATGTACAACCAGTTACATTTTTTTTTGTAGGCAGAGAACACATGTACTTAATTTTACACAGAACACTGAATTAGCCAGAATTTTCTGAACTAAGCACCCTTTATTCCATCCTGCTTTAGCTACTATTTCTTTTTGGAACAAAGATCTCTCCCCCTGTGACTTTTTCAAAAATATTCAGACTGTAATGCTATTGTAATTTGTTTAGTGGAAACTGAGAGCAGCAGTATAAACATATTTACCCCAAGTCTGATTGTGATTGTGGTGTTCTGAGTTATCCTAAAGATGGAGAAGGGCCTGGAAAACTCTGTAGAACATCCATTGTGTCCCTGAGGATCAATAATGAAAGATGTTAGCATGTGTGGATGTCCTGGGTTCTGCCTGGGCGGTTTGTTTATTTATTTGTAGATAGGAGCATAACATAGATGTTCTTTTTCAGACAGAGGGATTGGCAAATTTTTTCTTCTTTAAAGAACCAGCATCCATTTACTGTTGATAAAGATAAAATTGTTTATAGTGCTGCCAAATCTAAGTAGCTGTTATGTAGAATCTCCTCCAGTATCATCGCCAATTGAATCCAATATGCGTTAGCCCATATACCTCTGGCCAAACGAGGCAGGGGTTTTCAGTCAAACATGTTAGACTGGTCAAGTGATAACACAAAATTGGGCATCTATGAGTTTCATGCTCTTCATGGTTCTTCCACAGACAGAAGTATGAGAATTTGACCTTTGGGTCTATTTACCTGTCTGAAAAATAACAGGATTAGGCACTTTGGAGCTATCTACTTACTTCTTTTTTGGTGTACAGAGGACTTAAGAGTTAAGCTCCCTTAGTTATCCAATTGAAAGATTTGGCATAAGCGCACCAACTATAATTAAGGAAATGACTCAAGTGACAGGCATTCTACCACCGGAAGGTATTTCTGGAGTGAACTGATTTTGCCTTTCGATTCTTCATCATCAAATTCATACTTAGATACAGCTTCACATTAAGCAGATAGAATAAATTGCCTTTACTGTTCACATACTGAAGAGCTTTACTTAATTACGATTTGGTTGGGAACAAGGTGGAAAGAGGCATTATTAGTGATTACTCCTGACACTTTTGAACAGTTTTTAAGTTCTTAAAATACATCCAATCATGAATTTCAAAGCATAGAAAGAATCATGGGGTGATGGTAAATCAGGATGGATTATCCCCTTCCTATAAATTGCAATGTGGGGTGAGTTAACAAACCACTTTAGGCTCCTGAGTTAACTTTTGATCTTACTGGAAAAAAATTGTGCAAGTAAGATGTGTTTAACTTTTTCCTATTTGTCTGTGGTATGTCGGAGGAGGGGCAAGCCTAAGAAGTTTACAGTAAAGTAAAACACTGTGAAAAGTAAGGAGAAAAGTTGAAGAGCACTCAGGAATACCTGTTCCTCTGCAATTTTTCCTATGGAAGAATTTTGCACTAAGATATACATTTTATGAGAAGAAAAGATAATTAATTCCTTGGTTCCTAGGTTTCTTAGTCTGAAGTGTGATTCTTAAGAGGGCCTGTGTAAGAGTAATTTGGAGACATTTATTCCCTTGATACTATGACTTCGCATCGCTGATATGACAGCTCGCTGGATATTAAGAAGTTGCCCATGTTAAGACAATGACTCCCATAACCAAGGCAGTTTTTTTAAAAAAAAAAACCCATGTCTTATAATACACAATTGTTCTAAAGGATAAGCTGCAGAGTTTGCATGTTTGTGTGTGTATGTGTATGTTTGTGTGTGTGTAGTGTGTATGCAGGGGCAGGTAGAAGTGTGGTGTGTGTATGAGAATAGTTTAGGAAGCTATTTAGTTATGTATTGGAAAGGGCATAGCGGTTTCTGTGTTTATGTGTGTGTGTGTGTGTGTGTATGTGTGTGTGTGTTTCAAGAGTCAATGGATTATGAATGTATGCACAGTGACAAACAAACAAACAAACAAACAAACTAGAATTCTAGTCCAGCTCTGTCCTACTAGACAAAAAGAAATGTAGGCCGGGCATGGTGCCTCGCCCCTATAATCCTAGCACTTGGAGAGGCTGAGGCGGCAGATCACCTGAGGTCAGGAGTTTGAGACCATCCTGGCCAACATGGTGAAACCCCGTCTCTATTAAAAATACAAAAAATTAGCTGGGTGTGGTGGCACGCACCTGTAATCCCATCTATTCAGGAGGCTGAGACAGGAGAATCACTTGAACCCGGGAGGCGGAGGTTGCAGTGAGCTGAGATCACGCCACTGCACTTCCGCCTGGGCAATAAGAGTGAAACTCTGTCTCAAAATAAAATAAAATAAATGTAGACAAGTCAATCTTTCTGAGCATCAGTGTCCTAATCTATTAAATAGAGGGTGAATAAATCACAAGGCTCACATGAGGCAATGTGATTGGAAGACTTATCTTAGTATCTCATCTAAAAGCACTATGGGCAATTCCACAGAAGTGCAACTTCATCATGAAGACTCAACTACCCCTAAGATTCCAGCATGATCCCTCCTTCTAAAGCATTGTGCCCACTTCCAGAACTCTTTCATCATGGGAATGATGGAAGCTTCTATATGAAGGACCAAGGATAGGGATTCCTTTTAACTCCATGACTTCCTCAAACCCAGAACACAAGACTCATAATATAGATGAGTCTTACAGACTCATATTATAGACTCATAATCTAGACTTCTTAATGTCCAGGGAGCTGTCATATCAGTGATGAGAAGTCACAATGCCAAAGGGATAATTGTCTCCCAATTCCTCTTACAGAGGTCTTCTTAAGAATCATACTTTGGCAGGGCACAGTGGCTCACGTCTGTAATCCCAGCACTTTGGAGGCTGAGGCGGGTGGATCACCTGAGGTCAAGAGTTCGAGACCAGCCTGACCAACATGGTGAAACCCCATCTCTACTAAAAATACAAAAATTAGCCAGGCGTAATTTTTGTATCCCAGTACAAAATTTTGTATCCCTGTAATCCTAGCTACTCCAGAGGCTGAGGCAGGAGAATCGCTTGAATCTGGGAGGCGGAGGTTACAGTGAGTGGAGATCATGCTATTGCACTCCAGCCTGAGCAACAGAGGGAGACACTGTCTCAAAAAAAAAAAAAAAAAAAAAAAATCACACTTCATAGTATTTCTGGTTCTAGGTCAGGGAGGAATCACCACACTGTCTTCCACAATGGTTGGACTAATTTATATTCCCACCAACAGTGTAAAATCACTCAGCATCAATTATATTATTTTGAACAAATCTGTAGTTTATTATGATACACAATCAACCAACCGTTACTGTAGCAAAGATAAACATCTTATTCTATCCTGCACTGTATCTTTGTTATGGGAGGGACACTGATGCCTGTATTGATGATGCCAACAAATAATTAGTCCAAATTACTTTCTTGTAATGGTCTGCTGCCAGAGGAGAGAAATAAAGATTTCTATTTGAATGAAAGCACCTGTAGAGGAAAGAGCTCACATATGTAGATTTCGAATGCATATTTACTCCAAATATAAATGAGATGGATGAGTCTTAATGTACGTGCATCTAACTTAGGCATATTCAACACTGACTTTGGAGAAAAGTAAGAGGGAGAAGAGAGCAGGCAAGAATGAGAGAATCCCTGTATCTATGTTTGTGCTCTCCTTCAACCTAGAAGTCATCACCACAACAGCCAAAATGCAAAATAAAGCAAAATAATTTAAATTCTAGGTTTTAAGCTTCCAGGGGCTTAATGAGCCCTAGGGAGCCAAGAAATTTTCCAGGATTATTTTGGCCTTGCATGTTTTATCCTTTCTGGGATGAATATAGACCCTAACCTTGTGTAAGATTAACTCTGTGTGATACATTCACACATCCAATGTAAACTTTATAATCATACTCTTGTCACCTGGTACCCCTTTTCCTCATCCCTAGACTTAAAGCCACATCACACCATTATGACTATGATCTCTTGCCATCAGTTTGCCCATAGTGTTTTTCTTGATTTATGAATTATAGATCACACATCCTATTAGCTTTGTAAAACTTTAATGAATAAGATCTATCTTAATTTAGATTTATCATTAAGATGACAGTTAAAAATTCTGGAGAAACACACTTGTAGAAATGATCTTACCCTCCCCTGGAGCTATGCCAGCTTAAGCTAACTTACCTTCTCAGGTATGCATTTACCAATCCTTTAAAATCCCCAGAAAAGTGATTTCATTATGAAAATACTGTAGGACATTTCCCATGCTATTTCACATGTGATGAGTTTTAAGTATTTCATATTACTGAAGAGTGGAAGATGAAGAGTGAAAAGAAATAGATGTTACATCCTTCCACATCTTCTGGAGCTGCTTATGAAAATGAATGGCTGGAATAGTCACAGCATTGGCCTACAAATGTCCTAAGACTCCAGGTTTAAATATCAGATATGATAGAAAAGATCACTATCTGGGACTCATAAGTGTCAGAGAATCACATACTTTGCAAAGGAAACGATACCTGAGCAGTCAACGGAAATATACACACCCCACATGAAAAGACCACTATCTGGGACTCATAAGTGTCAGAGAATCACATACTTTGCAAAGAAAATGATACCTGAAGAGTCAACGGAAATACACACACACCACATGAACACACACATATCTTCACAATGATGGGTTCAGAAAGAGAATGAAGCAGATTTAAAAGAAAAGACAGGCCAGGTCATCTTAATAAGTTAAGAAGAAAATCCTACCTACCTTGTGACTGCCCGTGTGCAGATGGTAACAAGGAAACAGCCAGCCACAATCATCCAGCCCCAGCCTCCATCTGGAGGGGAGGTAGACCGAGCTCTATTTACTTTTGCCATGGTTTTTCTTTTTTCTTCTTTTCCAGGTTGCTCCAACAGCCAAGTTATGATCTTGGAAGAGTTTGCTGTCCAGTGACTTCCTGATGGCATTCAAGGTTGGCATAGAACGCTACCTGGCCCATGGGTTACTCGCCATCTAAAACCAAAAATCAGGACATATTTATATCTTATTGCTATGTCCAAAGGTTGATTTTTCTTCACTTGGTAAGACATGATTATTACTTTCCTATTAAATATGAGTATTTGTAACTATGAATACTAGACTGGGGCAGACTATTTGTTGTCCTTGGTACATGCTTTCTTTTTTAAAAATAAAATAGAACCTCTCAAATTGTAGTCAAATGCATGTCTACTCTATTTGATACCATTTTTCCCTAGCCTCTCTTGAAGGTAGTTGTGGCAATAAAGTGTAGTCTCCATGAAAGGGATGTGAGCAGAAGTCATGTGTGCCACTTCTGGTTCATCAACTCAAAGGCAAAGGTACTTTTTGAGGACTTCCAGCACCCTCTTCCAACAGACTGGAAGATGGATGTGGATATGAAACGACTTCAACCACACAGACCAGGACATCAGTCTAGGGGCTGGCAGAGGTACGAGACAGAAGCAGCCTGGGTCCCCAGATGACTCTGGGGAGACCTGCCCTCCTACTCTGGACTCTACACATCTCTACACTGTTACACAAAAGATAAATAAGCTTCCATTTTATTTGTGTCTCTGTATATAAGCTGTTACAACAGCTTATAACATAGACTAATTATTATACGGAATGAGTCTGACAGCAACTTCTTGGCATTTTTTAAAATGCTGTAATTTTTTAAGTGTGTAATTGAAGTAAGAATAGAATGAGAAATAAATGAGACAAAGTAGAGAGCCCAGAAGCTAGTATATAATATTTAATACAATCCAAATAAGGTAAAAAAAAGATCAGTGAAGAAAAAAAGTATTATTCACCACATTCTGTTCAACTCTCCATTTAGCTGTTGACCTTCCAGATAAATCAATAAATGTAAAAAAATAAAGAAGTAGTTAAAAACCTAAGTGAAAATATAGGCAAATATTTATCTGTTCTCTAGATAGGAAAACTCCCTGAGGTGTAAACTAATAAAACAAACCAAGATAAAAAAAATTTCGTTAATTTGTCTAAATTAAAATTTAACATTTCTGTATTAAAACATGTGATTAATAAACAAAACCAAAAGGTAAGCCACAGGCTTGGGGAAAAAAACATTAGCAATACATACTTCAAAGAAGTAATATCTGCATTCATTCATTCATTCAACTCTAAATATTTATTGAATCCCTAACATGTGTCAGGCACCGTTTTAGGGCACTAAGGATTCAGTAGTGGTCACAATACACAAAGCTCCCTGTGGTGGGCAGGCTCTAAGGTACCCCTATGGTCCTGACTCTGGTTGTTCATATCTTTATGTAATCCCTTCCCTTGAGCGTGGGAGGGACCTGTGACTTGCTTCTACCCAACAGAATATGGCACCTGTGATGGAACCTGACTCTCGTAATTATGTCACGTTATATATGACTCAGGCCTGCTAGCCACTCTCACTCTCCCACTGTCCTTGAAGAAGCAAACTGCCATGCTGCACACCTGGAGAAAGCCATTTGGCAGGGAACCATGGGCAGCCTGTAGATGCCAAGGGCAGCCTCCAACAGACAGCAAGAAACATGAAGATCTCAGGGTCTTTTGTTTTTTGCTTTTTCGCAAACATCCCAAGTGAGCCTGGAAGCAGATTTTCCCCTAAATTGAGCCTCCAGTTAAGGACAGTCTCACTGACACCCTGACTGCAGCTTTGTGATACCCTTAGCCAAGGACCCAGCTAAGCTATTTCTGGATTCTGGCCCCACAGAAACTGTGAGATAAGGTGCTTCTTAAGGCATTCCATGGCTTGTCAAACAGGCTTCTTAATTACAGTCAGGGACGAATTTTTTGAGAGGAAAAATAAGAGTTTCAACATCTACTTTTGCTACAGAATTGAGCAAATTACCCAGTTGCTTTTATAATTTTATTGTGATCACTGGACGAAATATTAACATTAATTAAATGAAATGTCATTTCAACTATGACAATGTGTGGATTATTTGATGAACAAAGACTATGTACCACCTGGTAAATTATGGGCAAAATAAATTGTCTAATAAAAAACATTTACTTTAAGACCACAACTTTCTCAAGAAAATGGCTCACAACAGAAATTTATAAGTGTGCATCTTTGAAGCCACTGGAACAAATTGGTGGCTTGTGACTTCAGAGAGTGCATACAGAGCAGGGGTAGTGAGGCCAAGGCAACAAGAATGATTCCCACATACATCACTTAGGTTTGCCCCTTTTGAAGCCTCAGGTCTTCATCTTCATGCTGTTAACCATCCTGTGACTTTGGGGAGACTGACAAAGGTGATTACGTGGACAACTGAAATTATAAATCTATCAAAAGTATTGGGAGACCAATACTGGCATAAATACTAAACCTATTGATAAAGAAAAAAATAAAAGTTATTACTGGAAATGATAATATTGCTAAACACTGGCCTGAGGATTGACTAATAGTTAAAATACTGGTGTTGGGGCTAAGTGAAAATAACAGTGATATAGAGCTGCTATTTACAAAACACTTGCCATAGGCCAAGCTGCTAGCAAGCATCACTACAGACAGCATCTCATTTAATCCTTACAAGATTAAAGATACCTTTAGATAATGAAGCAGCAGAAATGGGCTATGAACCTTGGTCTGATTGCAAGGCCAGTCTTCCTAACCAATGCCCTGCACTGCTTCTACTACATTTCCTTATTCCTTGGTATAAATTCATAAACGTTTTTGTCTAATTATACACATAATTCTTGCTGATGACACACCAGTAGGATGATGTGAATTGCAGCCTGACGTAGCTATAAATGCAGTTCTTTAAATGGTACCATTGGTATTTCCCTGAAACATTCTTGTAGGTCACTGACTTGACCAGCTGTGAAATTTCAGAGCAAAACTAACCCTCTAAAGGTGTCCTTAACACTCTGGAGCTTCAGAATAAGTTTTTCCAAAATATAACTTTGTGTCATGAATAAGTAGCTTTAACAGTCATCTACTTTCTTCCCCAAGATGAAACACTCAAGGAAAAACTCTTATTTTAAAAGATCTACCATACCTGTATTTTTGCTTTCACACACAGCCTGCTGGAGAAGACAGAGCTGGTAGTCCGTCCCTTCCTCTATTCCATCATAACCCTGGCTTTGTTAGGATTCAACTCTATCTGCTCTTTCCAGTGGCCATCTGGGCCCAGTCCCTTGGTTTAGGGAATGGGTTTGGATTGGTCTCCCGTTCCCATGTCAGTGAGTGATGAGGCACAGAACGGGAAGTATCCAGCCAATGAGCTATGGAGAGAAGTCCTCTGGGAAATGTTTCCCTGTTCTTAAGAAAAGACATGAGGAAGAAACAAGCCCCTCTTCTTCCTGTAGATTCTGGATGTGATACCTGGATCTATAGCAGCCACTTCTTAACCATGAAGGAAGCTAGTTTGAGGACAAAGTTAATGAGCCAATACCCAGATGGAAGATCTGGGTTCTGACTCTGCATCTTAAGAGTTATATGAATTCAAGCAAATTACTTTATGTCTCTGAGCCTCAGTTTACTGATCCATAAAATGGAGGTAATAATTTTACTTTCACAAAATGTTGTATATATCAAAGTGAGATAAAACATGAGGAATATCTGGCATAAAAATGTAGATATTATTTGCCATGTGATTTAACCTCTTTTCATTTGTTCATCACTCATTAATTCAATAGATATTTATTGAGTGTCCAATATGCACTAGAAACTATTCTAGGAGCTGGGCTATGAGCATTGCAGAAAAGAGACAATAGCCCTGCTTTCATGAGGCTCACATCCTAGTGGGACAGGCACAGTTCATGAACTGTTGAACAATAATTTCTAAGCCTCAGCTTTCTTGTTTGTACAAAAAATTACCTTCTGCCTACTTCACAGAATCATACTTATAGTCAAATGAGAGCACCCACAAACCAGCAGCAACAAGCAAATCAGGCTTCAGGACAATTTTATTACGCCTACAGTGTTTTGTAAATGTTTACATTAGTTGGCACTTGTAAATATCAGATACTATCCAAATTTCCAGATTCTTCTGAAAAATTGCAAGCTCTAAAAAGATGCTGGGCTGCATTCCCTTGTGGCAGCCATGAGATGGAGCCAAGCAGCAGTGTCCCCTTTCAGACAAGTCCTGCACTTCCCCTTTACCCTATCCCTGATAGAGTACCCTGATAGGGTAAAACTGCACACACATTTGTGTGCAGTTCCTGCGTGCTTCACCTGCCAGGCCCCTGGGGCAGTAAGATTTTCAACTTCTGCCCATACTGTGCTAACATAAATCAAAGCTTCTTAAACAGCCACGTGAGTCATGTTTATGGTATGTTTTATGCCTAGCACCCTCTCTTTCTCTCAATTCCAATAGAACCGGCATTCAAGAGTCTACCTACACCTGTGACAAACACACACAATGGAATAACTCACCAATTGGACACAATTAACTGCCAAGTGTTATGATGTGATACAATCAGTTGTACCAGTAAAAAAAGGCACAACTTAGAAACTCCTGCCTTGGTATAGTCCTAGCTTCTTCTTAGGCTTTTCCATTTAAATAACCCCCAAGGTTAAGTTGTTTTCCAGTGTAAGACTATAAATCCACCTACCCATAAACATCCGGCATAAGGACCATCCTTATTAGTGCCGCCCTATGCTGTGAAAGAATACTGAAACAGCCAGAGCTGTGCAACAGCCCTTTTAAAAAGCAACATAATGTGATGGATCATGAATTAGAAAGGTATCCACATTCTTTCAATAGCAATTCTATTTCTGGGAGGTTATCCTAAGAAAACAATGTAAGAGAAGCCACTATAGGCAAAAAATAATAGCTGCATTAACAATAATATATAAAACAGAAACAACCTAAATGTTTAACAACCGGGAAGTGTTTGGAGAATTATGACATGTTCAACAAATAGAAGAGTATGCAATTCATTACAATTATAAACAGGAAGCTAATATTGTTATATGGAAAACTATTACGATGCAATATTAAAGCCAAAAAAAGACGCTCATCTACTTTGTGAGGGAAGCTATGTAAAGCTTATGTAAAAGTTGTATGTTTGTAATTGTCACAAAGAGTAGGAAGAATATGTAAAAAGGAATATAATTGAGCTGGTATGATTAAGTTATTATTCATTTCCAAAACTGTGTTAAATATCATTTTACATGTAATTTTCTTAAATAGAGATTTCAGGTCTGTTCCTTTGGTGAGCACAAAAGTCTCTTTTTTATGGTTTTTCAAGGACTAAAAATAACTATCATTTATTGATATGGCACATTGAAAATGAGGTGATTATTCAGTAGAGGACACATTGTAGGCAACAAGCCCCTGGCAAAATAAAATGTTCTGTTTCTTTACAAAAATATTAAGCATGATTAATTTTTACTTTGCTGCTGCTAAACTCACGATTCCCTTTTCATTTGTTTTAGGTGAGCATCTTCTGTTTGGCATTTCCACATGTAATAAGTTAAGAACTGATTTGAGAAGATATCCAAAAAATGCAATTGTATAAATCCAAATAAAAAATTTAAATAATCATCCCAAGATGGCTGTGGTGATAGCACGATGAACAAAGGTCTGTTGTAAGTCACAGAGTCAACCTGGGTAAAACCACAGGACAAGGAACATCCTCATGGGACACCAGGGTGGGGAGAAAGAGCCTCTCTGCAAGCATTTGTATGCAATACTATTACTAACAATTTCTCATGAATAAGCGCACTCGATCCTCACCATCCTCAGGGATAGATGCTATCTTTCTCTCTTTCTCAATGGTGAAACTGAAGCTCAGAGAAATGAAAGGACTCCCCTGACAACACTGCATGTGAGTGTAAATGGAGGCAAGTAGCTTTGGCTGACTTTGGATGATGCACTTGTCCATCTGCTCTGAGATTTCAAAATTGTTATTGGCGTTTCTGTCAACAAGATGTCCAAGCAATACTAACGCTTAAGCACCATTCATGTGAGTGACCACGACAAAAGGAAGGGGGGAGAAGCCGACAAGGTTATCACAAGGTTATATGGCTGTTCACAAAACAACGCATGTGAGTTTCTTTCAAAACAGGTCATTTAATAGATTTATACATATTCAGAAGAAATGTGCAGGTTAGACATGGCAAACCTTGTTTCCTGGAGACTTTGAAGCAGTCTGCAATTCTCCCACAACATTAACCTGAGCATTCTTGTAAATAATTAACCCACCTGACAAGAGACAAATATAATGGGCAGGTCTTTTATTAAGTTAATAGTATTGCAGCCGGGCACAATGACTCACACCTGTAATCCCAGCACTTTTGGAGGCCAAGGTGGGAGGATCACTTGAGGTCAGGAGTTTGAGACCAGCCTGGCCAACATGGCGAAATCCCATTTCTATAAAAAATACAAAAATTAGCTGAGTGTAGTGGTGCATGCCGTAATCCCAGCTACTTGGGGGGCTGAGGCATGAGAATCACTTGAACCCAGAAGACAGAGGTTGCAGTGAGCTGAGATCACGCCACTGCACCCCAGCCTAAAACTATAAGCAAAGGAAGCATTTACCATCTTGCAACTCTTCATTTTACTAATCAGCCTCCAATTCATATTATTTTGACATCAACGACTGATGAATTTTACTCATCAAATGGAACAGTATTCTGCATCCCATTCTAGCTTCGGAAAAATTTTCTGAGATGAAAGAATTACTACATGATGATGTTCTTCTAAGATTACTGTTTACAGTGCAAGTTGGGATATATTCTCAATTTCACTTTATCCTCTTTACTTTAGAAAAATCATTTGCAAAAATTCTTGCTAACATTCAGTAAACTCGCAGTAAAGCACTCCATTTGTGGGGCAACTCTTTTATGTTGCCCACAGTAAAGTTTTCTGAAGATATTTCTTTTATCACTAGAACACCTACAAATTTCTTATAGTCAGTAAGCAACTAGAACAAAGGGAAGAGTATTCCTAGAACCACTTGTTTTGGAAGGCCCCCAACATTGGCTTTCCCTTGTTCTTTCCTTCCTTGACTCCTTCTATTTCCTTCACCTTTAGCTGTATTCTCACCTTATAAATTTGTCTGTAGCCACAAAAGAGATAGAGTATGATGGAAAAATACCAAGGGTGGGCATTTGGGCTGAGTCCCAGTGACCCTGTATGAATCACTTCCTTCCTGCTGCTATTTCCTCATTAATAAAATCAGGATGTTGAATTACTGATATCTGTCTTCTAAACCAGATGACTACTAACTACATCTTCCCTAATATGTAAGTTAACTGGTATAGGTAAGCACTCTCAGTAAACTCTAATTAACTTTACTCTTTGTTTACATAATAACTCTTTCAAGGTAGAGACAATTCCTCTTTGTTATTGCTTAAGAATCATGAAATTTGCCAGTCTCCTTTTTTTAGGCATTTCTGAAATATTCCTATACTATAGGTAATATTTTTTAAGAAATCTTCTGGTGTATTGCCCCTTTCTGGTAAGCCAGGTTCCTTTAAATATTCCCTTATGTCATTAAGACTAAGTCAAGAAGCCTATTGCTGTAGGGAATGAGACATAAGCTCCATCCAGAATAAATGCATCCCCAGGCAAGGAATCATGGGATTGTGTTATAGGGGACATTCCCACCACACAGAAAGGGAAAGTAGAAGCCTACCCTGAGAGGAAAGGGAAACGGATTTTAAAGGAAGGGTGATGAGCTGCCCATGTTTCTTAGGGACTATGTTTCCCACTCCCTAAGTCTTGACCAAGGACAGGTATGTGATATGGTGAAGAGATAGTTTCCCTTTAACCTAGGTAGCTGAGGGGGAAGTGCCAAGAAGGAGGCCTGTGCTATTTGTCCCATGTATAACTGTGGGAAGACATAACTTCAGGGGTCCCCTCTGTCTAAGCAGAGAGAAACAGAGTGCCCACTGACTGTCCTTCACCTCCTAGGTGGCACAGAAGTGATGGGGGGATTCCCCCATGTTCTCAATAGAGACATGGAAGATAGGTGAGATAAGAGCCAGGGCCATGGCAAAGGGAAGAGGGATTCCATGGCAAAAGTGCTAAGCCAGATGGAAATCATAGTTGACCCTTAAGAACTACAACAAGAAAGGTTGGGAATTCCTCCAGGCCCTGGCCATATGGAGAATACAAACCATAAGTTCCCAGCAGCAAAGTACACAATGAGGACAGAAGCCATCTCCTAGAGAGCACCAAGATGAGTTTCACTTTCTATGCACATTCAGGAGGCCAGCAGGATGCCCAGTAACCAATACTAGGAAAACCTCTGCATGGACCAATGAGAACTTAGAAAACAACCAGAGGGCCTGCTTGCTAACCACCTCCCCCACCACTACCACAAGGACACGGACACGTGAGCTCTCCCCTAGACCAGACACACTCATGAAGAAGGAGGAATAAACACAAGAGAGGAGAGAAACAACCCTAATAATCAGAGTAACCTCAGATTTGGCTGAATAATATCCAAAGAAAGCTGATCTTAGATGAAAAATACTAAATTTGCAAAGACTGTTAAACATTTTTAAATTGAGGTATAACTTACATACAATAAAACATGCCCATTTTAAGCCTACATTTCAGAGTTTTGACAAATGTATCACTTATGTAATTACAACCACCACAATCAAGACAAAGAACATTTTTATCATCCCCAGACATTCCCTCATGCTCCCTTGCAGTCAATCTTCACCAACCCTGGCACCAGAATACCACTGATTTGCTTTCTGTCAGTATAAATTAGTTGTCAATATAGATTGCTTTCTGTCAAGATAGAATTCTGTCAAGAATTTCATAAAGATAGAATCAAACAATATGTATTATTTTGCTTCTGGCCTCTTTCACTCAAGATAATGTTTTGAAATCATTCAGTTTGTTGTGTGTATCTACAGTTGATTCTTTTTATTGCTGAATATTACTATGTGTTATGGATATACTACAATGAGTTTATTCATTTGTTTGTTGATAATTGTTACAGCTGTTTCCAGTTTTACATTATGAATAAAACTTCTATGAACATGAGTGTACAAGTCTTTTTGTGGTCATATGTTTTCATTCTCTTGAGTAAACCCCTAGGAAAGAAATTGCTCAATCATAGGGTAAATGTGTATTTTAACTTTAGAAGGAGGTGCCAAACTTGTTTTTAAAGGTGGTTGTGTGATATTTTCAGTACTAAATTAGAGTTCCAATTGCTTCGCAACTTTGGCAATACTTGGTATTTATGGTGTGATTAATTTCAGTCATTCTAGTGATATCAAATGGTATCTCATTGTAGTTTTAATTTGTACTTCCCCAATGACTAATTATATTAACCAATTTTCATATAATTATTAACAATTCATATATCTTTTTTGTGAGGTGTCTATTCAAGTATTATGCCTATATTTTACTAGGTGGTCTGTTTTTTATTATTGGGATACAGGAATACTTTATATATTCTAGATACAAGTTATTTGTGGATATATGTGTTAGAAATATTTTCTCCCACTCTGTGGCTTACCTATTCATTAATTAGTGGTGTATTTTGAAGAGCAGAAGCCATTAATTTTGATGAATTGAAATTTATTATTTTTTCTTTTGTAGTTGATTGCATTTCTCTATATTAGTGAATAATTAGAAATTAAAAAGTTTTAAATACCACTTTACAGTAGCTTCAAAAAATATGAAATGCCAAGAAATAGATTCAACACAACATGTGCATTATTTTTACATTAATAATAATGTAATAATAAAACAGCAATAAGAAAAATTTACAAAGGCCTAAAAAAGAGAGAAAGAGAGATACCCTGTTCACAGATTGGAAGACTTGGAAGATGTCATATCTACTTAAGTTAGTTGATAGTTTCAGTGAAATCCCAAACAAAATTCCAGCAGCATTACTTCTTTCTTTTTTCTTTTCTTTTCTTTTCTTTCTTTTTTTTTTTTTTTTTTTTTTTGAGATGGAGTCTTGCTGTGTTGCCCAGGCTGGAGTGCAGTGGGGCGATCTCGGCTCACTATAACCTCCACCTCCTAGGTTCAAGTGATTCTCCTGCCTCAGCCTCTCGAGTAGCTGGGAATCCAGGTGCCCACAACCATGCCCAGCTAATTTTTGTATTTTTAGTAGCGATGGGATTTCACTATGTTGGCCAGGCTAGTCTCGAACTCCTGACCTCAAGGGATCCACCTGCCTTGGCCTCCCAGAGTGCTAGGATTACAGGTGTGAGCCACCGTGCCTGGTCAGTATTTTTTCTTTTAAATTTTTTTCTTTTTTATTATTTTCTTGAGACAGGATCTCACTCTGTCACCTGGGCCAGAGTGCAGTGGCGCTATCATGGCTCACTGCAGGTTTGACCTCCTGGGCTCAAGTGATTCTACCACCTCGGCAACCCAAACAGCTGGGACTACAGGCACATACCACCACATCTAACCAATTTTTGTATTTTTTTGTAGAGATGAGGTTTCACTATGTTTCTCAGGCTGGTCTCAAACTTTTGGGCTCAAGCGATTCTCCTGCTTCGGCCTCCCAAAGTGCTGGGATTACAGGCATAAGTCACTACACCTGGCCTCAGCAGTCTTTTTTTTTTTTTTAATGGAAACTGACAAGCTGATTCTAAAATCTATATGGAACTGCAAATGACCTAGAAAAGCCAAAATATTTTTAAAAGAAAGAACAAAGGTTGAAGACTTACATTAACTGATTTCAAGACTTGTTCTAAAACCAGAGTAATCAAAACAGTGTGATATTGGCACATTATATTAGTGGAACGGAATAGAAAGTTCAGATACAGACCTACACATTTATTCACATGGGGAAAAATGAATCTTGACTCTTATTGTCACTCCATTTATACCAAACCTATAGATAGAACATGTAAACGTAAAAGAAAACTATACAACTTATGGAAGAAAACAGAGGGAAAAAAATCTTTATAACTTGGGAATAGGCAAAGGTTTTTTAGAGAGGACAAAAGCAGCAAAATAAACTCCCCACTCTTGCCTTCATTTAAAATGGAGGCTTATGAAGAAGTTTACATTTATTATAGCAACAAACAAGTTGTAATTTTTTTCGTATCTATATTGTTTTACGAGTAAGTTTCAACCCTACCGCAACTCACTAGAGAAGATTTCTAAATGAACTCTACTATTACCTCTGCAGTGGGGAGGTACTCTTTTAGGGTACCTTTGTAACCCTTAATGTGTCCCATTTGAAGCTCTTTGATCTACACACTCACTCCTGTCTCTGTAGAGAAGCAAGAGGGAAACACACAGATAATATTTCTAATCATGGAAACTCAGTGTCCTCAGCCATAATCTGTTTGCCTGAGGATTGGCTGGTCCTTGAAGTCCTCAGCAGAAGCCACGTTCAGCCCATAAATATGATCATCTCCTTAGCCAAATATCAGCCTCACTCCTAGCCCATCACTACCATACCCACCTATCCTATAATACTATAAATTTCTTTCAACTCACTGAAAAACTCAGGCTTTATATCTTTTTACATGCTATTCATTTTACCTTCAAATTCCTTTCTTCCACACTTCCCCACCTGAATTACCTATCACTCCTGATTCCACTGCTTCTATGCCTTAAAACAGGCATCTCCCTCTTCCAGGTTTTTGGAGATCTCTGTGTATGCCTTTCCTGGCACTTATCAAATACATTCTTGTTATCTATTTACCTTTCTCTCTGTCTCCCACTAGACTGTTTAACTCCCAGAGCAAGTCACCTTTGCATCTTCCCCCAATTCCTCTCACCTTACCCAAACCCAAACAAAATACATGCATGCACACACACGCACCCAAACACACTGCCTGGTTCAGAATAAGAGCTTACTCTACGCCTAATAAATGAATGAAATAAGTTCTGCCTTCACCAGGGAGAACCCCCTCAAGTCATAAGAAATAAAAGTGTAAATAACTGTCACTAGTTTTTAAATGGCCATTCAGCTGAAAGAAACATGGAAAGCACTTTATCTTCATCAGAGAGGTCTAATCTTCACAAAGCAAGAAAATCAACCATTATAACTAGAAAACGAACAGTATTTAACACAACCAGCTTCTCTCTAAACAGCGCACACCAGAGTGTGGCATTCATGTCACGGAGGTACCAGCCAGCACTCAGAGCTCAAGTGTCTGACTCTTGGAACACAGAATAAGCCACAAAGTAATAACAGTAACAATGATTATTACTATTTAGGGGCACTGAATCCACCAGGCTCTGAATTCACTGCTACATATATGTTATTCCATGTTATCTTCATCTTGACCCTGTGACGTAGGTATTATAATCTCCATTTTACAGACAAAGTAAGGAATGCTCTATCCAAGATTCTACCTCAGGTCTGATTTCAAAGCTTGTGCTCTTATTCACCGCAAACCATTGCCTCTCCCTGGCCTTTAAGCTGCGTCTTGGTAGAAGCCATAACTGTCATGTTGGATGTTGTGTCCCCAGCAACTAAACAGTGCCTGACATGTGTTTGCTAAATGTTGTTGCTAAATGTAAGCCTCTTGTGGATATTCAGAAAACGATAGATTGGCTCCCTATCACTTCACATTTTATTACTCCCTCTTAACAAGAATTAAATGTCTGCCTCTACCCCACCCCAGTTAACATCCTGGCCTATGGCTAGGAAACAGAGAGGAAACCATGTGTATTAAAGGGTAATTTTCCAAGTATGAGAGAATTCCAACATTTTTTTCTGCACAGCCTTTACAGCAGTGTAGCAAAGGGTTCCAGCTGGTAGCCTTACAGACTTCTATCCTAGGGGCAAACTCGAGTTCCAAAGGGACTGAACGTGGGAGGGAAGTTAAGAAACCCCTCTCTCTCTGCTTAGGCTTGCACAGTCTCTGGCCCAAGCACCCAATTGTTTTCATCCACTTAGAGCCTCTGGATCCTGGAGATGCCTTCAACTGGAAATTGATTTATTTATTTTTATTGTTTACTGACATTACACATGTGCCATGAGACAATACATATATAATGTTCTAGGTGAAGAGAGACTAAGACTGCTTTTTTTGATGTGCTTATTTTTCCTTTCTGCTTCTCTCTGCTTAGTCCTCAAACAAATCCTGGTAACGGGAGTAAATAATTACTGACTTCAACCAGAAATTTTTGGATGTTTGTCAGAGACCTTTGGGCACTAAACTGAAACACTGACCTTTGCTAAAGAAACTGCCAAAGCCTCTACATTGTGTGTGATGCTTTGAGGACAGGAACACTTTACATAAGACTTAGAATAAACAGCAGAGTGATTTATATGGTATTTGGTCTACAGAAAGGAAGAAAAAGGTACAACTCGTGATTCACATACGAGGCAGACAGTAGAAAGCAAAATTCTTTCCCACCCTTTCAGTTCCTAATCCACAGAGCCACCGATTCTAGGCAACATCAGAAAAATGCTTACTTCTGAGTGGTTGAATGTGCAATTCATAACCAGAAGCTTGCCCCCAACTACATTTTCTGCAGTAATAGGGTTCTGGTATAACATTGGGTGTAGTGTCTGGCATAAAGTCGGTGCTCAATACTTGTGTAGTTCCATGAATAAATTTTTGTGTCTAACTCAGTGCCTTGTATAACTCTTTTATTCTAATTTTGTACTCTGTTACAGAGTATGGCATCATTAAGTCAGATTATATCGGAGGCATCTTGGCTGTAAAGGAGAACCTGGGAGTTTGAGATGCATTTCACAGAGTCTTTTTGTTCGTCATCAGAGAGCCTATTATTGAGAACAGTGCTGCTCTCCATACCACGATATTTCCTTCACTCTGTAATCGCTGCCATCCGCCATGCTGTTGAAATGGGAGGGGCAATGAGTCCATTATTTCAGTCAGCTAGAAATTAACCCCTCATGTCATGGAGTACTACGGAGAACTGGTGTTTGTAGGAGTGCAGGCAGAAGAACATAGTTCTGCACTCAGAGTGTGAGATCCCTAAGAGGAGGGACCCTGGAGGCTCCCACTCCCCACTATCTCCAGTGCCTAGGATCATGCCTGGGAGAGAACAGGGACTCAATAAGCAGTTACTGAACAAACTTCCCAGTTCTCTGGTTCAGGATAATTTCTCAAATTACATGGGGAAATGGTACACGGAGCTTGAAGAATGGTAACAAGAAACCCTTTCTTTGATCTTTTTATCCACCATAACCAGCCTTCCCAGCACTGGGGTCATAGAACCCTAACTGACTACATCTCTCTGGGCACATACCTAGGCCCTGACCCCAGACCAGGCCAAAGGTGGAAACAGAAATTCACTGGCAGATTTGCCCCTTCTTTCTGCTTTTGCAAAGTGGGCCGCAGGAGGGCTCACCTACAGGGCCTGGCACTCGGCCCACAGTCTGCCCCACATCACGCTGGCCATCACATTCCACAGGCCTGTAGAGATGTTTATTTTTGTGTTCTGTAGACTCTGCTCACTGCTTGAGCCACAGCAGGTCACACAAAGGACAAGGTGTTGCCAAGGCTGAGAATGTGGTGTACTATTTTTTTGTAAGACGGGGGCTTGAATTTCTGCTGTGAAATGAGTTAGAAATGATTTTACAAAAATTCCTTCAAGATACGGATGGTCGTTTTTGTTCCTATCCTGATAGAAATAGATATTGTTAAACCAGTTCATTCCACCTCCCTCTAGTTTGGAACCGAAGAAAGTTTGATGAACTTTTAACAAAGTCCTTGGAAGTAATTCCCAGATTCTTTGCATGTGAGTACAGTCTGTACATTTAAAAACATGTCCAGCCCAGGCGCAGTGGCTCACGCCTGTAATCCCAGCACTTTGGGAGGCCGAGGTGGGCGGATCACTTGAGGTCAAGAGTTCAAGACCAGCCTGACCAACATGGAGGAACCCCATCTCTACTAAAAATACAAAATTAGCTGGGCGTGGTGGTGCATGTCTGTAATCCCAGCTACTCGGGAGGCTGAGGCAGGAGAATCACTTGAACCCAGGAGGAGGAGGTTGCGTTGAGCCGAGATTGTGCCATTGCACTTGAGCCTGGGCAACAAGAGCAAAACTCTGTCTCAAAAAAAAAAAAAAAAAAAAAAAAAGATGTCCTTAGCCAAACACAGCAATAGTTATATTCTTAATATAAGCCATAAGCCATTTGTTAGTTAAGAATCTGTATAAAGACAATAAGTAAAATAAATTTGATGAATTTTCAAATAAATTTTCTTATGAATCACTAAGGCACTTACACATTTGAAGAATCATGTAACTGTGTAAGATATTCTGTCCACCAACAATATTATATGTACATATGGATTTACAGTCTCTGTACTAAGTCTATTGTTCCCTCCCAGTTCTGAGACCGGCCCCTGCCCTGCCCCCGCCCCCACCCCCACCCCGATGAAGTCCCTCTGTTTATTAAGAGTAGGACTTGTGCCTTGGAGAACATGAGTTCTTTCTGGTTTACTGGGTATATTATTTAAGGAACTGGGAAGGGAAGACTTCAATAAAGACATTGTTTATAAAGGTATAAGCAGTGTTAATAATATCTAACAACACTATATCATGATAGTGTTGGAGAATAACAGTTACATCAAGTAGAACTTAATAAAGGAAGTGGAGTGCCTTGGGTCTAGTAACAGTGGGAAACTATTACCACCTCTAGACTTAAGGGGGCAGAGGGAGAGAGCAGTTACTAGAATCTTGGAGAGTTGACGTAGAAAGTCCCTGTTGAAGGGAAGCAGTCAGTCCACAGGATCTGACAGTGAAAGAACCAAGGAGGTAAACACATCAGCCACACCTACTCCTGCATTCCAAGTCTCAGAGGTAATTGAACCCAATGGGAGCCCAACTGATGCAGTCCATAAATGTTTTCAGCCTCCCAGGTCAGAGAACAGGGTGGAAGTGGGATGGACAGTGAACCTGCAGGGGGAAACAAAAACTGTGTTGCATACCAGTGTGATCCGTAAGCTTGCCTTGCAGCATTCTAGGGCTATGGTAAAAAGGTGAAGTCAAGTCCTGAGCTCACGCTGGGCTTTGCCTTTAAACTAGATCAAGTTGCTGATGTTTACCAACTCAAATCTTTTAGTGTATTTCAAAGATGAAACTCATCTGTGAAACCAACTTCCTCTTTCACTGCTCAGACTTAAGCATTCCCTTAGTTTCAGCCACCTATCACCTTTATTTAAATGGACAACTATAAAATCTGCATCTCTGCTTCCGATCTTTCTCCCAAGTTACAGACTCAAATTTCCAATAGTCTGCAGGGTACCTCAAACTCTCATGTCCAAAAACACTGGCTATTCACTCCTGGAAACACTGTTTTCTTAATGCTCTCATTGTTTCCAACTAGAAATGCTAAAAGCTTTGAGTCATTTTGACTCTATCCCAACTCTCATTACAAGTGAATCCAACTCTTATCACTTATTTTTTGTAATCCCTTTCACATCTGCCCTCCCATCTTAATTTTCCATTGCCTTGTTCCTGAACTGAGCCTGAGCCCGTCCTAGCCTGGCTTGTTCAGCCCTGACTCTACCTCTTACTTATGGACTGACCTTATTTAGACTTCTCTGCCACTTACTAATAGTGAACTGTCACTTAGTGTCTCAGTGCCTCATTCCTTATCTGCAGGATAGCCGCATGTTTAGTACCTACAGCTGGGGACAAAGACCTCCTTTTCCATGATCCTGTGGGGTGGAGACTCCAGTAGATTTAACACTCCTGGCTCTTCTCCTTCTCCTCACTTTTCGCTGTAAGAGGGGTTGCTTATCTGTTTCCTTGGGAGAAATCATTGCCTACACTCACCTCACACTCTTTCTCTTTTTTTTTTTCATGTGGGATCTGCCTATTTGTAGAGAAGCTTATCTTCCTCAGCAATTCTGTGCTATAAGTAAAATAGGGGAAGATGCCCTTGCAAGGAGGCCTGTGGTTGTTTAAGAGCTGACAGTGACTACAACTTGGCTCCTTTTCATGAGCAAAGTATTGCAACCCTACTTGGCTAGTTGTCCTAAGCCTCGTGCCTTAACTATCAGTATTATTAGCCTTTAGGGTGGCATTTTGATCTTCATCTGTTTAATTCCTGTTTCTACCTCTAAATTGGCTTAGAACTTAGGGAAAATATGAATGTTTTGTATTGGTCCTTTCAAATCCCAACTCCTACCCCACGGAGTTGTTGAGAAAATGAAATGAGGTAACCCATATTATATCACAAAGCATAGGTCCTGTCCACAGTAAGCATTCAAATAAATGTTAGCTATTACTACTATTGTTATTATAGACTGCCTCCATGAGCCTTACATAAGGGATAAAAAACTTAAAATTTCAATATCCTGTGATTATTATGATTTATATATCACGATAGTGTTGGAGAATAATAGTTATATCAAGTAGAACTTCATAAACTGCAAAAGAAGCTCTATCACCATTCTCTATCCAAAGACTTTACATAGAGGCATTTACATGTCTCCTGAGGCTGGGTGTGAAAAATGTTCTGAAAGATAATTTATCTGAGAAGGAGGCTTATAAGAGGCCCTTTAGGTCATGATGCAGCTGTAAATAGTAACACAACATGGCTCAGAAAAAGATCTTTAAAAATAAAAAAGAAACCCACATTCCTCTGACAGGACACCCCTCTCTCAATAATTCCAGGGTTTTTTTGCCATCCCACTCCACCCTCAGTTATACTACTACTCTTTGAGGCCATTAAAACTGCTGCAAATATGAATACCACATTACATTTTGAAGCACATGGAACAGTGCCCTTGGCATGAGGTCAGACATATCTGGCTTGGAAACTCTACTCTGATAATTACTAGCTCTGTGATTTTGACATGCAACTTAGCTTTCTGAATCTGTCCTGCTGTGTACATTGCAGTGAATATTTCCTTTTAAAGGGGGCTTTAATGAGGGTTAAATGGCAAAATACATGTAAAAGCATCTGATACCTATTAAATATTCACATATTAACAAATACTAATTTCTTTCTATATAATACCAGCAAATACATTTTTCATCTTCATTGATTTCTTTCAATAATTTTCCAAACTAAAAAGTAAGAGACTGTTCACTACAGTAGCTATACAGGAGCATATAGTAGGTACAAAAAAATGCTTAACTAAGTTATTACATATACCAGTTACTAGATCAAATAGTAACATGATTAGAAAATTAGTAAATATATAGCTTAATCATCACTAAAAGTACACACATATTTCTTTTCTTGGAGTATCAAAAGGAAAACAGACCCAGTGTCTTCATCTTTCCAAGTCAATTTTCCCTTATGCTATGCAGACAACACAAAAGAGTTAAATGGAGTGAGGAAGACTGGCAAAATGAAAATAAGAGGGAGAACTATAAATCCAAGAAATGCCATGTTTCTTGAACATTTAAACTAATTTTCACTTCTTTGCAGTATTTAGTTGATTCTTTATTTTGAACTTCCACCGAAATTCTTTACAGACAAATATCTGTATACTAAATATCTGTGTCTACGTTCTTTCCTTTTTAATGATTTTTCCTAAGTTGTACACAAATGCTATGTCCAATCCCTGAACTATTAAAAGCCTCTATAAATGACAGCTCTGAGGACTGTATCAGCACACAAAAATGCCCATCTATGTTGGGATATTAACTCTAAATCAGAACACAAAATGTATGTGCTATGAGTACAACTGTAGAAATACATATGCATAAGGACAAAATAAGAAATGAATGCACCAAAATAGAAAATAGCTGTGTGAGGAAACTGAGATAATGAATGAGCTCTTCCTGTATTTTCTGAATTTCCTGGAATACTCATGCTCTTTTTATACAAAGTAATAAAACCACTTGTACATAGTGGCAACTAAGTGTGTACATTTTTTTTTCCATTTAACATCAGTTCACATCCGCTTGTCTATATACTTGGCGTAGTTGACATTTGTCTATATATATATGTTTAGGTTTGCTCTCTTTATTTAAACTTATTGAGATTTTATCATTCCACTAATACCTGAGAGTTTTGCTTTTGGGACTACTCTCATACACAGATTAAAAGTTTCCCCCTCACTTTTTATCTGCCCAAGAAGCCAAAAACAAGAATCTATTGATGGATAGATAAACTGTATGACTATTTTTTTAAGGTTGGCTACTATCTAATTGACACTGTTTTTTTTTTCTTGTGTGTGTGTGTGTGTGTGTGAGAGAGAGAGAGAGTGTGTGTGTGTGTGTGTGTGTGTGTAAAACAAAAAAAAATGTATTCCAGCATGGTTTTTCACTATAACTTTCAAAAATTGTTTTCCTTTTACAAAGTGATGCAACATTTGATGACTAAATAACATGGAATGAAAAAGTCCACTTTAGGACAACTGCACTACACAGAATGAGAATGCAATGTTCTTTCTCATGGCATTTCAGGCTCGCATGAGGAAATCATTCTCTTTTTCTTTCATAAACTTCTTGAGAGAATGCTGACAATGATAAAATTGTCTTCACCGGAAGCTAGGAGAAAAACAAGTTAATATTTTCAGGATAAAAATAAGTAAAGGCATGAGTTACGCTGAATAGTTTTAGAATCTTTGAATGAAATAGCCCAAACAGAGAAAATAAATTTTTTGAATTTCGAAAAATAATTAATCATCTAAAAGATTGAAAAGTACAATTTAGTCTGTACTTAATGATTTGTGTCTTAAATCCATACTCCTCACTTAGAATAGAGTGTCAAATAGTACAAATTCAGTTTACTTTGGATTATCATTTCTCAAGAATACACCAAAAAAAAAAAAAAAAGAAGAAGAAAAGAAAAAAAGGCTAAAGTATAGCTACAGACTATGGTACAAAGTTAACATATATTCTTAGAAGCATTCCAAAGGCCAGTGTAGTCAATGTATTTTTACAATGTACTCTACACTAACAAGTTTGAGGTCATGGGTTTTAGATCCATCAATAATAAATTTTAATCACAGTGTGGCAGAAAACAGTATCATGGTCAATGTATAACCAAGGATGAGAAGTCATAGTTAAGAGTCTAATAGATGCCGGGTGTGATGGCTCACGCCTATAATCCCAGCACTTGGGGAGGCTGAGGTGGGCAAATTGCTTGAACCAAGGAGTTTGAGAACAGCCTGGGCAACATAGCAAGACCCTGTCTCTACAAAAAATACAAAAAAAAATTCCCAGGCACAGTGGCGTGGGCCTGTAGTCCCAGCTACTAGGGAAGCTGAGGTGGGAGGATCCTTGAGCCTGTGAGGTAGAGGTTGCAATGAGACAAGATCACACTACTGAACTACAGCCTGGGTGACAAGAGTGAGACCCTGTCTAAAAAAAAAAAAAAATGTCTAATAGAATAGACCAAGAAAAAAGAAGAAAAAACCCACAAAATTTAGCAGAGTGAAATCATGTTGTGTAGAAGGAAACACATCAATATGCCTTCTTAATCCAGAGCTTCCTAGTTGCTTAGCCGGGCTCCAGGTGTGACATGAATCTGTATTAGTCTACTCCAGCTGCTATAACAAAATACCAGACACTGGATGGCTAAAACGGAAATTTACTTTCTCAGTTCTGGAAGCTAGAAGTCCACGATTAAGGTGTCAGCAAATTCAGTTTCTGGGGACAGCTCCCTTCCTGGCTTGAAGATGGCCACCTTTTTTTTTGCAATGTGCTCACGTGGCCTTTCTTGAGTGCATGTGCATGTGCTGGAGGAGAGGGGGTGTGAGTTCTCTGGCATCTCTTCTAAGGACACTAGTCCTATCATGGCCTACCCTTATGGGCCTCCTTCAACCTTAATTACTTCCTTTGAGGGCCCATCTCCAGATACATCACATTGAGGGTTAGGGCTTCAACATATGAATTTGGTGGGAACACAAACATTGAGTCCATAACAGGACCCTCAGCTCATGAGGCAGCTGGGCAGATCTTCTGGTGGCCATACCCCAGAGTCGCCAGGGCCAGTAACAGCATCATGGTTTACTCCAATGTGGTTTAGAAAGATGATGATTTTTGAGGTCTGCCTCCCCAAGAGAGGTTGGGAAGCACTGCCTTATCAAATTGAATACATCACTGCCCTGCCAACCATTATAATAATAAATTGCAATAACCCTCTAAAATGAAGAAAATTGTCTGGGTACAGTGGCACATGCCTGTAGTTCCACCTACTTAATAGGCTAAGGCAGGAGGATAGCTTAAGTCCATGACTTTGAGGCTGTAGTGCATTATAATCGTGCCTGTGAACAGCCACTGCACTCCAGCCTTGGCAACATAGTGAGACGCTGCCTCTAAAAAAAAAAAAAAACAAAAAAAAAAAAACGGAAGAAGAAAATCCTGATAACAATTAATGCTTACATAGCATTCACTGTGTATTATGCCTGTTCTTAGTGCTTTTTACACATGTTCACTCATTTAATTCTCACAAAAACCCTCTGATACATGTATTATAATGCTGTGGTCAAGTGCATAGTCTTTTGGCATCCAAATGCTGAGTTCAAATCTCAGCTTCTGCATTTCTAGCTGTGTAAACTTGGTCATGTTACTAAGTCTCAGAACCCAGGTGTGGTGGCACATGAGTGTAATCCCAGCCGCCTACTCAGGAAGCTGACATGGGTGGCTCTCTTAAGGCCAGGAGTTTGGGACCAGCCTGGGCAACATAGCAAGACACTGTCTCAAAAGAAAAAAGTTACTAAGTCTTTTTGAACTTCAGTTTTCCCCATCTGTACAATGAAGATAAATATACAAATGTATAATTCCAAAAAGTTCTGAGAACAAACCCATAATTTTCCCAGATATTGACAGTGTAATTATTTGGTGACAAGACCTAAACTACGTATATATCTCTTTTAGTAGAATATTCCTATGTTCTATTATAGAATATCTTATGATTGATTACCAGATACTCCCTCAGATCCTGCTAGAGGGTTACAAATATCTGCTCTCCATACCATAACAAAAAATCTTGTCCTAAGGATTTCTGAAAAGAGTTTCAACTCACAGTTGTGGGTACGTAGTAAATTAATTTAACACACTTAAAACAGTACCTGGCATATCCAGTGAGTAATACACAAGTGATAATTATTATTATTACTGTTGTTATTATCACTGCCATTGTGTAGGTGAGGAAATGAGGCAAAGAGAGATCCAATAAATAGTCTGTCCAAGCCACAGCTGGCATGCAGTATGATGAATGTGAACCTAGACAGTGTAGCTCCGAAGCCTGTGCTCTTAACCACTGCACTGCCCCATCTCCACAAGTTGCATACGTTTTACTTGTGTGCAATATAATCTAAGAAGGCATTGCTTCCTTAAAATATTTTTAGAATTTTTCCTATGTAAATTGGAAATACTAGGTACTTAATGGAGTATGCACTCAGATACAAGGGAAATTCCACTCCCCAGCATGATCTGGGGCAGGTGAGTGACAGCCACGTTTGTGCTACCTGTTCTGCACCTCCCTGGCCCTGCCGATTGTACCAGGAGTCTACACATCATCCCAAGGAACCAATCCAAAGACCGAATCAAATTCTGAGATTCTATGTCTTTGGAGTAGGCAACTGAGTCAGGCTGGAGCTGGGAGGTGCAGCACAACAAGGCTGAGGAGCCACCTTCTGCCTGTATATAGAGCAGCCGAGAACCAGGGGAACAAGGAAGCAGTTTCCTATGGATCAGTCGTTGTCAACAATGGCCAATTTGGCTCCCCAGAGGACATTTGGCAATGTCTATAGAGGCATATTTGGTTGTCACAATCAGGGTGTGCTACTGGCATCTAGGGCACAGAGGCCAGGGATGCTGCTGAACATTCCACAGGACATCCTGAAAAACAAAAGCAATTATCTGGCCCAAATGTCAACAGTGACAAGGTTGAGAAAGCCTGATATAGACTTAGAGCAAGAAACTATGTGGCTTCAACAAAAGGGTGAGATGGAGAAATGAGTTGCATTAGCTCCAATGGCTTCCCAGGTCCTGAACTCAGCTGCTTATGACATCTAACGGCTCATCCTGCTCCAGGTGCCCTGAGGTCCTTTATGGCCAATGTTCTTCACGTCCACTTACCATTCCACAAAAGTTCTCCATTTCCTAACAGCAGTTTAATGAGTTTATGCTACCTGCAACCAAAGATATCTGAGATAGGCTTGGGGGAGAACAACTCAGGATGGCAGGAAGAGGGATTCAGGCATGGGGAAGAGTGTATTAAACACAGAGACTGAGAGGGCATTTGGAGAAACGCCCATGGAAAGGGGAAGAACAATGCAGGTGAAAGAAGAAATGAGTCAGGGCAAAGAAGCCCCAATAAGCATAGTGTGTTTGTGTGCAGAAAGGAGAGCAGCGTGTGTAGATCAGTAGGTGCACACTGGGGAAGTTAAAGAAATTAATTTAAGAGGTAACAGTTTTGAAAGATGCATCAGGACATACAATTGTAATAAAGACTCACATATCTGTGACTGTACTAAGCCTAATTCATCCTTATAAAAATTCATGCATATAAGAAAAGTACCTTTGGGAATATAAACTTCCTTGGTAAGCCATCATGACAGAGTGGAAATTCTGCCCTATCAGTAAAATCCATGATTAGGTACATTCAACAAGCAGTATTTTCTGAAGATGTAAAATAACAAAAGAAGAGGCAGAAATCCCTGGCATTTATGGGAATCAGTCAAAATAGTTTTTCATCAATAAGCTCCTCAGTTCTCTATTCTATACTCTGGGGAAGATGACCCGTGTCTTGCAGGGTTGGAAGGCAGTGAGCTCACTGCCTGGTACTGAGGATGATCTAGGTTGTATGTAAAAGCCCCATATGGCTCCCTTATTTTCTTATCTAAAAAAAGAAAGAAAAAGACCACAAAGATTGAGAATTGGCCTCCCTGCTCCATCACTCAGTCAGGAGACTTAGAATTCATAAAAATATCATTAAATTTACAGAGTCAAATATATAAGTAAACTATGTGACTGTGACATGTTATAGAACCTTCTCTACGAAATATAGAAAAAAATTAGTCAGACACAGTGGCATGTGCCTGTAGTCCCAGCTACTCAGGAGACTGAGGTCGGAGGATCCCTTGAATCCAGGAATTCAAAATTACAATGAGCTATTATCAAGCCACTGTACTCCAGCCTAGGTGACAGAGTGAAACCTTGTCTCAAAAAAAAAAAAAAAGAAAGAAAGAAAGAAAGAAAGAAAGAAAGAAAGAAAGAAAGAAAGAAAGAAAGAAAGAAAAGAAAGAAAGAAAGAAAAGAAAGAAAAGAAAAGAAAAAAGAAAGAAAGAAAAAAAGAGAAAAACGAAATAAGTAGAAATAAGTATAGAAATAAAGACTAGGAAATGAATATCACAGAAAAAGGGATGTCCTGGATACCTTGTTTTTCTTTTTCTCTCCTTTGTTTTCCAATAAAGATAACTGTGACTCTTTGAGGAAAAAGTTGATTTTCTGCTTAGTAAATCAAAGGTTCTAGATCAAAAAGCAACAGATACAGTGTTCAGAGAGAGATATGTGTGGGCTGGTACCAAATCAACCAGTGAAGTCAAAAGACACTCCAGGAGAAAATTTGGAAGTATGGGACGAAACATACACCCTTTCACTTCCAATAGGCAGTGCTTCAAAAGGACGATCCCCAGCAATCCCTTCTATGGCTGACTGACAAGAAAGCTGTGGGCTCTGCGGATTCCATACAAAGGGTCAGATTCCTCTGAATGAACACAACCATCCTGAGGCAAGGCAACAAGCCTTCTCTAAGGGGAAATCACATCTAACTCATTAATTGGGTGTTTAAAGGAAATGCCCAGAATGGTGTGGCAAAAAGAGAACTCAAATTTTTAATTCTGAAGATTAACATCATCATAGTGTACCATCTCACACCTATCAGAATGGCTATTACTAAAAAGTCAAAAAACAACAGATGTTGGCAAGGATGTGGAGAAAAGGGAACTCTCATACATTGTCGGTGGGAATGTAAGTTAATAAAACCTCTATGGAAAACAGTATGGAGATTTCTCAAAGAACTAAAAATAGAACTACCATTCAACCCACCAATCACACTACTGGGTATTTACCCAAAGGAAAAGAAATTGTTGGCCAAGTATGGTGGCTCACACCTGTAATCCCAACACTTTGGAAGTCCGAGGCTGGTGGATCACCTGAGGTCAGGAGTTCGAGACCAGCCTGGCCAACATGGAGAAACCCCACTTTTACTAAAAATACAAAAAAAAAAAAAAAATTAGCTGGGCGTGGTGGTGCGCGCCTGTAGCCCCAGCTGCTCAGGAGGCTTAGGCACAAGAATGGCTTGAACCTGGGAGGCAGAGTTTGCTGTGAGCTGAGATCACGCCACTGCACTCCAGCCTGGGCAACAGAGCGATTCTGTCTCAAAAAAAAAAAAAAAAAAAAGGAAGTGTTATTTCTCTGTCAAAAAGACACCTGCACTTGTATGTTTGTTACAGCACTATTCACAATAGTAAAGTCACAGAATCAATCCAAGTGTCCATCAACAGATGATTGGATAAAGAAAATGTGGTGTGTGTGTATATATATATATATATATATATATATATATACACACACACATTTATTATACCATATTAATATATATTAAATATATATGTGTATGTATAATACATATTATTTATCTATATATACACATATATAAAATCATGGAATACTACATAGCCAGAAAAAAGAGTGAAATCATGTTTCTGCAGCAACAAGGATGGGACACACTAGAAGCCCAAACCTTACCATTACTCAATATATCCATATAAGAAACCTGCACATGTATTCCCTGAGTCTACAGAAATTTTTTTAAAAGATCCATCAAAAAAATCCCTTAATCATAAGGAAGGTTTTTTGAGGAACTTTTTAAAGAATGAATAGCAGCTACTATTTTTTCAGCACTGATTTGTGGTCAGTGCTAAGGAAGTCACATGCATTATGGTCATTTGGAAGAGGATGTGGATGCCAGCTCTTTGTTGGTGGAACTCAGCAGCATGGTACCACACCTTGCACAGCAGAATTTCATTTTCCTTTCTGAATTAATTCCATGCCTATAGGAGTGCTAATAAGGACTTAGGAAACAAACTGCCTCACACTCTAATTGATAGGCTATGGGAGAGGTTCAGTGAACCTCAAATAAGTTAGCTTTAATATATTGGGTCACTCCAATGCCTATGCCTAGGATAAAAGCAGCAGCAACGACTAACTGACAATAGTAACAGTTTCCCACCAAATGATGCCTTAGAAATCTGTAGATGGCTCCTCTCTGAGCAGTTTGGGGGATTCCCGAAGGACCAACCCCTAACCTTGTAAAAGATGTTAGGAAGAAGGATAGAGCCTAGGATGCAGAGAGCTCCTTGTAAACTAGACAGATGCTATGCACAGAGATATTGAGATCTGGTTAGGAATATTCTGCATAATATCAGGATAAGTCCAGGATGTTGTATGACAAGAGTCAAAAAGAAAACTGACGTATCAGGAAACGACTGGGGAGTGGCTTTATCAGAGCTAGCCAGTGTACAGCTTCAGGGAGAGTTCTTTCATGATGAAAGAAAAGGTGATCATATTTTTTGTACTTGTACATTTTACTTTTAAGTAATCATCTCTAGAAATGTGGGCATATTATAACACATAACCATTGGGAAAAATCTTTGAAATTACTACTGTTATTGTTTTCACGGCTCAATCATTTAAATAAGAAAACCAAGCTCACCATTTCATAGACATATTAATGCTATTTTGACCCCAACGTTACTGCCCAATTTGGTCGTGAATATCACACATTAGACTTGGTTCACAATGGCTTTTTGATGTTTCCAAAAATCATATTCACCTTCTTGGAGATTGGCCACTGCTGAGGATTATTCTTTATATACTAAAGATTTAAACTTATTTTACTTTATTTTATTTTATTTTATTTATTTTTGAGACAGGGTCTCACTCTGTCACCCAGGCTGGAGTGCAATGGCGAGATCTAGGCTCACTGCAACCTCTGTCTCCCGGGCTCAAGGATTCTTCCACCTCAACCTCCCGATTACCTGGGACTACAGACTCATGCCACTGTACCCGGCTAACTTTTTGTGTGCTTTTTGTAGAGACGGGCTCTCCCCATGTTACCCAGGCTGGTGTTCAACGTCTGTACTCAAGCAATCCACCTACCTTTGCCTCCCAAAGTGCTGGGATTATAGGCATGAGCCACCGTGCCAGTCCTTAAAGTAATTTTTTAAATGAGATCTTAAAAACTGTGAACTATGACAGCTTGACCTTAAAAACCTAAGGTGAATACTTTTAAAGGGATAATATCATTTGGAATATATTTTACACTATATTTTTGAGTCAATATTTTATTACATGTGTTTATACCTGTAAACACATAATAAGGTCTGTTATTTCAAATATGATGAAAAAAGGTATAAAAATTAATGCTGACTGGTTCCTAAAGATATGTCTAATGTCCTTTGAGGATCAAAAAAGTCATTATAGTCACTAGTCATCATCAAGGGGAAATAGGAACAAACTGAACAATGTATTTCTCCTGTGTAAAACATTAGCATCCATAATGCTACATAAACTCTGTTCACTTGAAAATCAAAAAAACTATAACAATTTCTGAAGGGTCAAAGATAGATAACTATAGTGACTCAAGGTATGAAGGGTCTTTATATGAAGAGGAATGTAAAAGTAGGGCTTTTCTTCAATAGGCAAAGAAATGAGTCAAAGATGGATGAGCCTGAAGATTGTAAAATCATGATGAGCAGATAACAGTGAACCTGGACTTGCAATCAAATCTCAGAACTTGCTGGCAACTCCTGGAGGAGGTCATGTCGGTTTATATGTAAAACAGTACTCTGTGATTTTCAAATCCTCCAATACCAACTCCATGTCTAACAATTCAACTCAACTCTGATGCTATCTGCCTGAGTTAGTGTCAGATCCCACAAGTTAAGGGGCTCGGTCTCACAAGACTGCCCCACTTCAGATACCAGTCACAAGTCTGGGCCTCCCTTCTAACTTCTGATGGACCAGCTATAAATCAAGGGTTCCCACAACCCCCTCAATACTTTGCTTTAATTACTCACAGAACTCAGGGAAAAATCTTTACTTATGTTTACTGGTATATTATAAAGGATACAGCTCAGGAACAATCATATGGAAGAGAAGCATAAGGCAAGGTATGGGGGGCCGGGATTGGGAACGCAGAGCTTCTATGCATCCCACCCTCCTAGCAACTCCATGTGTTCACCAACCCAAAAGCTCTCTGAATCCCTTCAGTTAGGGTTTTTATGGCAGCTTCATTAAGTTAGCATGATTGGTTAAATCATTGACCATTTCAGATAAACTCAACCTTCGGCCCCTCTCTACTCCTGGAGGTAGTGGGAGCAGTTGCTGAAAGTCCAACCCTTTAGTCATGGGACAAGCAGTCTCCCATCTTTAGGGCCTTTTCAAAAATCATCTCATTAACAAAAGCTCAGGCTGGATGAAGTTAGCTTGTTATGAATAACAAAAGACAATTCTCTCACTCCAGAGCTATTTCAAGAACTGGAGACAAAAACCAAATACTATAACAAAAGATGCCCCTATCACTCATATTAACACTTATGAAATTCCAAGAGTTTTAGGCAGCCAAATACATATTTCTTATTTTATTACATGACTTCTCCCATGAATAGCAACTATACTACCACCCCCACTCTCCATGAGGCAAAAGATGCGTCAGTTTCTCATGAGCCAGTTACAGAGCTTTCTGGGGAAAGAGCTGCCTGGAGCCATTATAATCCTGCCCAAGAGGGCCTGCTGGCAGAGGGGATGGTTTTCTAACAGTAAAGGTCCATAACCACAAGAGAACCAGGAGCTGAGTTGCAACCAGGCAAAAGAGATATACTACATGCCTCACAGGTGTGTGCCTAGAAGGACAAGCAGGGAGCCTCCATAAAAAAATAAAAATAAAAACAAAAAACAAAAAACAAAACAAAACATAAAATCACCTACTACATAAAAAGTTAACAAGTGCGCATACCAAGTAAGATTGTGCCCTATTTTCCTAATCTCTTCTCCCACTGAGCCAGACCCTAGAGGAGTTTTTTTTTTTTTAAATTAATTCCAGAAAGCTGGGAAAGAAAAAACATTAAGCTGGAAAGAGGAAAGAATCATGCCTCCTTCTCCCACTACAAACAGACAATTTTATAGTGGCCCTGCCTGGGGGAGGAGGTAAGAATTGACATTAAAACTAAATTCTAAGTTTTTATCATGTGTGTGAATTAGATATTTTAATTTCTAAATTGAGACTGTGTTTGTGACTTAAAATGACCCAGAGGATGGTCTGTTACCTAACAATGAGCAGAAAGCCATGGGACCTGTCCACGTGTTCATCCAGGGATGGGGAAAGGCTGTTCCCACTGAACAATTTTTAAAGGGAAAGTAGAAGTCGAAAAATAAAGCTGCAGTTTTACTATACTCTGCAAATGATGCTTCTTCACCATACCACATACACAAAAGGGAGAAAAACATATAGACAGGAGCTATAAAAAAAAGTATGCAAGTCATCTCCAGAGGCAATACCAACTTAAGTATAAATAGATTATGGAAAAGTTTAGATCAATTCATGGATAATATCAAAATAAGTTATGACGAGGAGGAAATATTCAGAAGATGTTGTCACCTTTGAGACTGACATGATATCAATGTTCTCCCGCTGGCTTCATTTGTTTATGATGTCATTTGTTTTACAAACAAACAAAAGATCAATTTCAATATTTTAAAGCTGTGCATGTGTTAATTGATCACAACCAATAGATACCAAGATAAAATAATCTGCCATGATTATTACTTCATTGGCCAAAGCATTTTAAACATGACACTACAAGGATGGTGATAAATGTATATAATTATCCACTAAAGGTTATTTTTGATCTTCCCTTTTATATGTCGCCCGAGATAAGAGCAGTTTTTTAGGAACAAGAATGGGGACAACTCACCTATGCTTAAAAGGACTTGTAAAAAAAAAATAGCTATAAGTAGCTGGGCGCAGTGGCTCACACCTGTAATCCCAACACTTTGGGAGGCTGAGGCGGGCGGATCACCTGAGGCACCTGAGGTCAGGAGTTCGAGACCAGCCTGATAAACGTGGAGAAACCCCGTCTCTACTTAAAATACAAGAGTATTTTTAGTCTCTACTAAAAACACAAGAGTGCGATGGTGCCGACATGGCAAGTAATTTATTTGGGCAAGTCTGAACTAAGTCATAATTAAGTATTCATAAGATAAAAAAGACAATCTACATTTGTTGTATAGCACCATGGAGTTTATATTCACAAATATTACTCTTTCTAAGACTCAGACCAATCTAGTATGAAAGGTAGAGAAGGTTAATAGTCATCTCCTGCCTTTGTCTACCCAACATCTATGCCCTTTCCTTTAGGAAACAACACCTCAGTATTCCCATTCTCAGTTCAAGCGTCTTGAACCTATCTCCTCCTGGGGAGGCCTGGCCAATCAGAGGCATGACTCATTCAGAGACTTATGAACCAGGCTAGACCCATAAGAGTCACCAAATAAGACATTTGCTAGAACAACAAGGAAGATGTGGCTTCTTTTCATGGGGTTCCCAAGTCACAGCATGCCAACAGTGAGCTGCAGGTGGCCATTTTTCTCTTTACTAAGCCAGCCTAGGAAAGAGTTCAAGAAATACGTGTTGCTGAAATTGTTTAAACATTTGAACTCAGCTATATCTAAATCCCACCCTTGAGGTTCTCTGTTAAGTAAATAAATGAATTCACCTTTTTTCTTTCTTTTTTTTTTTTTTTGGTCTGAGAAGGAGTTTCACTCTTGTTGCCCAGGCTGGAGTGCAATGGCCCAATCTCAGCTCACTGCAACCTCCGCCTCCTGGGTGTTAGCGATTCTCATGCCTCTGCCTCCCAAGTAGCTGGGATTACAGGCATGTGTCACTATGCCCGGCTAATTTTTGTATTATTAGTAGAGACGAGGTTTCTCCATGGCGGTCAGGCTGGTCTTGAACTCCCAACCTCAGGTAATCCGCCCACTTTGGCCTCCCAAATGAATTCGCTTTTTACTTTTTGTCACCCTGAGTTTAATGTCTGTCACTTGCACCCTAAAGTCCTACTTTTTAAAGTCACTGTTATTCTTGTCTTATAAATATGGTCAGGGCTTATATGATTGTCCAAGATCACATAGAAATATGTGGCTGAGCCAGAATGTAAGCTAAGAGAGCTGTCAAACTCCCAGTCCATAGCTCCTCTTCCTTCCTCGGATTGGCTCCCCTTTCCATATAGTTATACTACCAGTGTTTTACAGGCCTAAACAAATGCATTTTTATCTCTTTTGCCCAAGTACCTAAATAAACAAATGGGCCAGGAGCTGTGTCAGAAGCAGGGTGATAAAAAGAATGAGTGTGTATCATTAAGCAGATAAATGAAAGGTTCCTACCAAGGTAATTTTGTCAAAGCAAACTATAAAAAAAAATCGATCATCAGTTCCTCTAATGTTAAAAGTTCTAGAAGCCTGTGAAATTGAAGGATTGTGAGCCACAATACATATTAGAAATAAAGAAAACTGAAGTAATCATATTGGCCCCATTCCTGTTGGTAAACTAATTTAATCCCCCACGCTATATTTCTTCTTGAAGAACTATAATACAGTAATGTTTAGTATTGAGTTTTTCAATTATCTAACACGAAAGTGTCAGCCAAGATTATTAAATAGAGGAAATGTTTTAAATCAAGCAAAGAAACCCATTGGTCCAGCATCAAAAAGGACACGTAGCTAGTTCATTAATAAAAACGTGCTTTATTTCATACACACTGTTGACAGCAGTATTAACCGGTTCAATTGTTTTGGAGTGACATTTGGCAGTAAGTTTCAAACGTACTCAACTTCTGACCCAATGCTTCTACATTTAGGAATCTGTCTTATAGTTAACACTCCCCAAATGCTCAAATATGCTCATATAAGAATGCATTAGCATTATTTGTAACTACAAAACATTGGAATATGTTTCCATTAGCAGGGAATCAGTTGGGTAAGCTGTGGTACATTCAGCTTCCAATTTTGTACAGCAGATTGAGCACGCATGTTTATCTCTCCTCCTAAAACATTGCTGGTGGTAAAGGAATCAAAGGAAATAAACCACAAGGATAAAGAGAACAGGAGAGAACATAATAGCAAACAAAAGATGTCAAACACATTTTGGAAGCCGGAAAGTGAATGAACAGATGGGATCTGATTTAGCAAAACAGAGAACACTGAAACCTAATCCAACATGGAAGGGAGACGGTAAGAAGGAAGCCAAACTGCAGAATCCCAGAAAGACTCAGGAATGAAGGAACAGAAGATTTCTAAAGACAGCAAGTGTGGGAATGAAGCTAAAAATAGGACTGATGGAAAGTTTGTAGAAGTTCCCACCCCTCAGACAATTAGCCTTCCCCTCCCTGGAAGAAAACTGGTATTTAGTCTGTGGAAATGCTACATACTGTTCTTGGAGATAGCAGATACAGCGGAAGTAGCAAGGGAAGGCAGAGCACCACACAAAAACAAGAGGATTAAATGAATATCATACTGAATGGTGAAATGCCCTGTCCCACAACTCTGGCCCTATATTACTCTAAAAACACTAGGAACTGGCCGGGCATAGTGGCTCATGCCCCTGTAATCCCAGCACTTTGGGAGGTCGAGGTGGGCAGATCACCTGAGGTCAGGAGTTTGAGAGCAGCCTGGCCAACATATAGTGAAACCCCGTCTCTACTAAAAAATACAAAAATTACCTGGTAGTGGTGGTGTGCGCCTGTAGTCCCAGCTGCTTGGGAAGCTGAGACAGGAGAATTGCTTGAACCTAGGAGGCGGAGGTTGCAGTAAGCCGAGATCCGCCACTGCACTCCAGCCTGGGCCACAGAGCAAGACTCCGTCTCTCAAAAAACAAACAAACAAACAAACAAACATCACACTAGGAACCAGGTTTCTAGCTACCACGCAAAACACTGACAACTGTCTTTGGAGAAACTAACCAAGCTAAGAGAAAAGGTATTAACCCTTGGGAGTGTTACTCAGAAACTACAGATGCTCCTTGACTTATGATGGGGTTAAATCTTGATACATCCATCAAAAACTGAAAATATCCCAAGTTAAAATGCATTTAATACACCTAACCCACTGACCATCCTAGCTTAGCCTAGCCTACTTTAAATGTGCTCGGAAATTTAAATTAGCCTGTAGTTGGGCAAACTCATTTAACACAGACCCTATTTTATAATTAAGTGTAGAATATCTCATAATGTATTGAATACAGTACACTGTAGAGTACAGTACCAGTTGTTTACCATCATGATCGTGGGGCTGACAGAGCTGTGGCTTGCTGCCTCTGACCAGCATCATGAGAAAGTTGTCTTACTACATATCACTAGCTCAAAAAAAGATCAAAAATCAAAATGTGAAAAACAGTTTCTACTGAATGTGTATTTCTTTGGCACCATTGTAAAGCCAAAAATTTGTAAGTTGAACCAGAGCTGCTCATTCTACATGCAACTGGCCAATCCACAAATCCTTCCTTCTAATCAGCTTCTTAATGTCTCATTCTGAAATAAATGAACAACCAAAGATCATCAAATAGTTAAGAAATTACCATATAATTAGGAAATTATTAACATAACTAATAATTATTATAACAATTAACATAAGAAGTGGGATGGGGGCTTTAGGAAGAGAAAGAAATAAATTCAGAGGAAACATGGACAATTCAGGGCATGAAAGAACATACAAGGACATGAAAGAAAAATTCAAAGAAAAAAACTACAGTAAATATCTTCAGAGAGGTCAAGAAAACATAATGCATAAATAAAACAAGAAGAGGAGGCTATAAAGAAAGAAACATTTGGAAACTAAAAAAGAATGCTTGGAATTAAAATATAATTGTGGAAATTGAAAATTTAATGGAAGGATCAGAAGAAGAACTATCCCATAAAGTAAACAAGAACACAAAGATGTAGACTATTAGAAGGAACAGGAAAACTAGTGAATTAGTTCAGAAGAGTTAATATTCAATTAATAGGAGTCCCAGAAACTAAGAAAACAAGGGGAAATAGATGATGAAAGAAATGCTATAAAAACATTTCCCACATTTGAGCGTCCAATGAAATTACTGAAAAAACTCAGAGCCCTCAATCTTGCACCATTCACAAAAGTTGATTTCAGGTGTATTATACAACTGCATATGAAAAGGCAAAATAATTAAGCTTTAAGGAGCTAACATCCTCATGATTTGGAGGTATGGAAAGAATTCTAAAACAGGGTTCAAAGAACTCCAATTATAAAGGAGAAGAACACTTTCACATTTGACTACCTTAAAATTAATAATTTCAAAAGACGTTATTAAGACAATAAAAAAGCAAGACAGAGAGTGGAAGAATATATCTGCAACATGTATAACCAACATAGGACTCCTATCAAGAATGTAAAAGGAACTCCTATTAAAAAGACACTCCAATAGAAAAAGGACTTTGACAGGCAATCCACACAAAAGGAAACCCAATGGCCAATGAACACATGAAAAGATGCTCATTTTTAATCAGAGAAATACAGTTTTAAAACACAATGAGAAAAGTGTGAACCTGAATGTAAAGTATAGGCTTTAGTTAATAATAAAGTATCATTATTCGTTCATCAGTTGTAATATGTGTACAACACCAAGTCAAGATGTTAATGACAGGAAAAACCAGAGAGTGGGATATGGGGGCAGACACAGAGTATACGGGAACTCTGTACTTTCTGTTTGTAAACTTAAAACTGCTCTAAGAAATAAAGTCTATTAATTAAACACATATACACACATGAGATATCACTACAAACACATCAGATTGATTTAAAAAGCAAGTTTCTTTTGGTTTTTATTTATTCTCAAAAAATACAGGTAGAAACAAAGAAATTCAGAGGTTAACGTATACTATTTATACAAACAAAAATGTATATGTTTTAAAACTGAACTAGTGTGATTATATATTTTTTGGACCAAATTGCTGGGAACTCAAAGACCAGGTCTTTTCAAATGAAAAATAAAAGCACAGTGGTACAAAAGGATAACTGGAAAGCACAGAGGAAGAATTCTACATGGTGTGGGGGAAACAGCACTGTATTAGGGCCTCTGGAACTCAAATCTCCCTAAACCTACATAGCAGGTGAGAGGCAGAACAGAATTAAACTCAAGTCTCCTGACTTCCAATCTAGCATACATCCTCATCATGCTATTTCTATCCTCTGTGCAGTTACTGATTAAAGAATTAATAGGGGTAGAGATCAGAAAGAGGAAAAAAAAACCCAACATGATTTCATTAAGGCCAAGTCGATCTTCATTAAAGAGGATTCTTTCTAATAAGATATAAACCAACATTTCCTACTGAGGTCTCAGAGCTATATTTTATGTATGTATGTTACTATGTAATTATACCTCCAATATCTTAAATCATAAGGGCACACAAACTACATGAGATAAAGTTAGAAGTAGGTATAATTATTTTATCTACGTCTGTACTATTTGAAAACTTAACAAGAAACAATTCTTATCTTTATAACTAGTAAAAATAAAGATAGTAGGGGCCAGGCGCGGTGGCTCATACCTGTAATCCCAACACTTTAGAAGGCCAAGGCAGGCAGAGCCCACAAGTTCAAGACTAGCCTGGGCAACATGGCGAAACCCAAACTCTACTAAAAATACAAAAATCTAGCCAAGTGTAGTGGTGCGTGCCTGTAGTCCCAGCTACTCGGAGGTGGGTAGGGTAGGGGTGGTAGAGGGTGGGGGTGAGGTGGGAAGATGGCTTGAGCCCAGAAGGTCAAGGCTGTGGTGAGCCCCGATCATGCCACTGCACTCCAGCCTGGTTAACAAAAAGAGACTGTGTTGAAAGAGAAGAGAAGAGAAGGAAACATTTCTAGTGCAATTGATTGAGATTAATTACATTAACAATGATTCCCTGTTTATGTACAATTGGCTGAAATATAGATACAAAGGGAATGTGTTCCAAAAATTATATGAACAAATGAAGTTGAAAAACAACAAATGGTTGACCTCATTTTTATCAAGTATGTAAAATATTTACAAAACACCTGGAATATTATATTTTAAAATGTTAAGAAATAGAAAGGGCAGTCATGATCAGAGAGTTTTTGCAGCTCCGACTCGGGCAGACAGAACAGCTTGAGGAGACTCGCATTATGAATTTTTGTTCCAGAATGACTGCAGGAATAAATCAGGAAACCCGAGAGGACCCACAGACCCTCTGAAGGAGGTGGATTGCTCCTGCAGGACCTGGGAGACACCCCAAATACTGTGGTGGTATCCATGTCTGAGAGACCCACAGACGCTCCACATCATAGGCCTCTGTGCAGACAACCCCCTGTACCAGCCCGGAGCCTGGCAGACTTGCTGGGTGGCTAGATCCAAAAGAGAGATAACAATCACTACAGCTTGGCTCTCAGGAAGCCACATCTATAGGAAAAGGGGAGAGTACTACATCAACGGAACACCCCATGGGGCAAAAGAATGTGAACAGCCTTCAGCCCTAGATCTTCCCTCTGACAGAGCCTACCCAAATGAGAAGGAACCAGAAAACCAACTCTGGTAATATGACAAAACAAGGCTCTTTAACATCCCCCAAAAAATCACACTAGCTTGCCAGCAATGGATCCAAACCAAGAAGAAATCCCCGATTTACCTGGAAAATAATTCAGAAGGTTAGTTATTAAGCTAATCAGGGAGGCACCAGAGAAAGACAAAGCCCAATTTAAGGAAATCAAAAAAAGCGATATCAATGAAATAAATATTTTTATTTATTAAAATCAATCAAGCTGGGCACGGTGGCTCTTGCCTGTAATCCTGGCCCTTTGGCAGGCCGAGATGGGTGGATCACCTGAGGTCAGGAGTTCAAGACCAGCCTGACCAACATGGAGAACGCTCGTCTCTACTAAAAATACAAAATTAGCTGGGTGTGGTGGTGTGTGCCTGTAATCCCAGCTACTCGGGAGGCTGAGGCAGGAGAATCACTTGAACCTGGGAGGTGGAGGTTACGGTGAGCCCAGATCCTGCAAATACAAGGAAATTAAATAATCTGCTCCTGAATGATCATCAGGTCAAAATGAAATCAAGATAGAAATTAAAAAGTTATTTGAACTGAATGACAATAGTGACACAACCTATCAAAACCTCTGGGATACAGCAAAGTCAGTGCTAAGAGGAAAGTTCATAGCCCTAAATGCCTACATCAAAAAGTCTAAAAGAGCACAAACAGACAATCTAAGGTCACACCTCAAGGAACTAGAGAAACAAGAACAAACCAAACCCAAACCCAGCAGAAGAAAGGAAATAACCAAGATCAGAGCAGAACTAAATGAAATTGAAACAAAAAAAATACGAAAGATAAATAAAACAAAAGGATGGTTCTCTGAAAAGATAAATGAAATTGTTAGACCATTACTAAGATTAACCAAGAAAAGAAGAGAGAAAATCCAAATAAGCTCGATAAGAAACAAAATGGGAAATATTACAACTGACACTACAGAAATACAAAAGATCATTCAAGGCTATTATGAATACCTTTATGGGCATAAACTAGAAAACCTAGAGGAGATGGATAAATTCCTGGAAAGATACAACCTCCTAGCTCAAAGCAGGAAGAATTAGAAACCCACCAATAACAAGCAGCAAGATTGAAATGGTAATTTTAAAAATACCAACAAAAAAAAGTCCAGGACCAGAGGGATTCACAGCAGGATTCTACCATACATTCAAAGAAGAATTGGTACCAATCCTGTTGACACTATTCCACAAGATAGAGAAATAGGGAACCCTCCCTAAATCATTCTATGAAGCCAGTATCACCCTAATACTAAAACCAGGAAAGGACATAACAAAAAAAGAAAACTACAGGCTAATATCCCTGATGAATATAGATGCTAAAAGCCTTAACAAAATACTAGCTAACTGAATCCAACAACATATCAAAAAGATAATCCACCATGATCAAGTGGTTTTCATAGCAGGAGTGTGAATGTAGGGATGGTTTAACATATGCAAGCCAATAAATGTGATACACCGCATAAACAGAATTAAAAACAAAAATCACATGGTCATATCAATAGATGAAAAAAAAGCATTCGACAAAATCCGGCATCCTTTTATGATTAAAATCCTCAGCAAAATCGGCATACAAGGGACATTCCTCAATGTAATAAAATCCATCTATGACAAACCCACAGCCAACATTATACTAAGTGGGGAAAAGTTGAAAGCATTCCTGCTGAGAACTGGAACAAGGATGTCCACTCTCACCACTCCTCTTCAACATAGTACTGGAAGTCCTAGCCAGAGAAATCAGACAAGAAAAAGAAATAAAGCACATCCAAATCAGTGAAGAAGAAGTCAAACTGTCACTGTTTGCTGATGATATGATTGTTTACCTCGAAAACCCTAAAGACTCCTTCAGAAAGCTCCTAGAACTGATAAAAGAACTCAGCAAAGTTTCCAGACACAAAACTAATGTACACAAATCAGTAGCTCTTCTGTACACCAACAGCTACCAAGCTGATAATCAAATCAAGAACTCAACCCCTTTTACAATAGCTGCAAAAACAAAAAACAAAAAAAACAAAACCTTAGGAATATACCTAACCAAGGAGGTGAAAGACCACTACAAGGAAAACTACAAAACACTGCTCAGAGAAATCATAGATGACACAAAGAAATGGAAACACATCCCATGCTCATGGATGGGTAGAATCAATATTGTGATAATGACCATACTGCCAAAAGCAATCTACAAATTCAATGCAATGCCCATCAAAATACCACCATTATTCTTCACAGAATTAGAAAAATAATTCTAAGCTTCATATGAAATCAAAAAACAGTCCACATAGCCAAAGCAAGACTAAGCAAAAAGAACAAATCTGGAGGCATCACATTATCCAATTTCAAACTATACCATAAGGCCATAGTTACCAAAACAGCATGGTACTAGTATAAAAGCAGGTACTAGTATAGATCAACAGAACAGAATAGAGAACCCAGAAATAAACTCAAATACTTACAGCCAACTGATCTTTGACAAAGCAAACAAAAACATAAAGTGGGGAAAGGTCAACATGGCAAAACCCCATCTATACTAAAAATACAAAAATTAGCTGAGTGTGGCAGTGCATGCCTGTAGTCCCAGCTACTCAGGAGGCTGAGGCATGAGAATCACTCGAACCCAGGAGATGAAGGTTGCAGTGAGCCAAGATTACACCAGTACACTCCAGCCCGGGCGACAGAGCAAGACTTCATCTCAAAAATAATAATAATAATAAATTAGGCTGTTGTATTTTCTTCCTAGCATATTTATCACTATTTGAAGTTGTCTCATTTGCTCATTTGTTTATTATTTGTCTTCACTACTAAAGTGTAAGCTCCATGCAGGAGGGACACTTGCCTATGTTATTTCATGGCTGGATTCCCAGTACCTAGAACATGCCTAACATATATTTTAAAAATTCCCCAATAAATACCTATACCTGTCAAAACTGGAAAACGAATTGTCTCATGAATTGAAGACAATTTGATCCTTACTGTGTTGCTTTTAAGTTATCTAGTTTGGCTGCTGACACAGCCCAGATTGAAAACTGTCACTGTCTCAGTTAGGGAGGATGTAGGGTAGTATACAGCACAATGACCATTTCATGCTGGAATTCAGGCAAAAGTGATGCCCGGCCGGGTGCGGTGGCTCACACCTATAATCCCAGCACTTTGTGAAGCCAAGGTGGGCAGATCATGAGGTCAGGAGTTCGAGACCAGCCTGTCCAACATGGTGAAACCCCGTCTCTACTAAAAATAAAAAAAATTAGCCAGGCATGGTGGTGGAAGCCTATAATCCCAGCTACTTGGGAGGCTGAGGCAGAAGAATTGCTTGAACCCAGGAGGCAGAGGTTGCAGTGAGCCAAGATCGTGCCATTGCAGCCCGGGCAACAGTGCAAGACTCCATCTCAAAAAAACAAAAAACAAAAAAACAAAAAAGTGATGCCCACAGAAACTCCTGATACAACTGAGAACTAGATCTTGCATGCATTCACCTACTTATGGTAAAGCTTCTGAGCAGAACTCAGCAGCTTGCCCAGGAGTTTGCAGCATTTCAGAGCCATGCACTGGACAGCTATCAAAACTGTGTCATGTGCCTTGAGCCTTGAGGACTATAGAAGCAAATAAACATCAGTCATCTTGGCTGCACATGTGTCGGACACTGCTAAAGTCAACACCCCTTCCATAAGGAGTGTGCATTTCAGTTTCCAGCTGCCAAATCATATTGGTTGTCAGAGATTGAAGCCAACATGATTCATAAATGTTAATTTGGCAGAGGATCAGGAATTCCCCAACTTCATGTCAACTAGGCTTCCATCTGTCCAAGGAAGCCAACAGTCTGCTTTCTCCTATCTCTTAATAAAAGGCTGAGAAGATGAGCAATGGTGATCAGCAAAGCTTGTAGGAAACATGTGCGCTATCTACAATCAAAACTGCAATCTATGATCAGGATCAGCGGGTTCCTATTTGGTAATAAGTACCTTGTCAAAACAGACAAGCACTTAGTTCATATCTCTCCAGTAAATGTTCTCAAAAGCAGCCCCAAGTCACTAGAAACAATAGGATGAGAGAGAACAAGGCAATATTCTCTTTGCATAACAAATCTTAGTAAATTGTAAACACATCAGAGTCACTTATTCCTCACATAATTGACTCCTACCTTTTCTTTTTCACGTTATTTTTCTTTTACATTAAATATGCCTTACTAAAGTGGTGGGTCCTTAATTAGCATCCTCATGTAAACATAGGCCTTGTTTTATTTGAAAAAGATTAAAAAGGTGGTGACTCACTTTAATAGGAAAACCCACAAACAATGAATGCAATGCCCTTTAATCCATAGTTGCTGTTCCAATCCCACGTAGAATTATAAAAGGTCCCCATAAAATCCCATTAACCTGCCCAAGACCTCTCTCTTAATAGCTCTCTGCCTTTTCCATGCAGATGTACAGCATGATTGAAGTAGATGAAATATGAAGTGATTTCACACTGTGGGGTTAGAGAAAGAAGGCGAAGTCCAGTAAGGGCATGGAGCATATGAATTTCTAGATGTGCCCAAATAAAGAAGAGATGTGGACAGGTAAGTCAGAAGTAGTAGCCTGAAAAGACCATGGGGCCAGGTGAGTCAAGAAGGGTGGGTGTTTTCAGAGTCGCTGGAGAAGGCAAGTCCACAATAAGACTGAGAAGAGACTGGAAAGAAAGATGCTTGTGGTGGAGTCCGCAATTGTTCCCATACAATTTGGGCCACAGAGGCCACTGTAGCCAGCTGGGGCCACAGCAACAGGAAGGAGTGGGAGGTCTGAGCAGAGGCTGTGGAGGAAGACAAGTCTATCACCAGAGGCTGGAAGTGAAGGAGGAAGTCGAGAGCAAGCCAAAACCCCAGGGTATCAAATGCTTCTCATTTGAGAAGTCTGCAAGAAATCAGCACAAGGAAGACATGTTGAGAGGAAATAAACAGCAATGTCTTGTTCAGTTACAAAATAATTAAGAAATGGAATTTTACTCTTGTGCCTCCCCAATACACAATTTTCTCAGCTTCAGCTCCCATCTCCATGAGGCCTCAAAATTAGTCATCAGATTTTACCACTCTTTCCCATATCTACACAAAATAGTTCAAGTTCAAACAGCTCTGAAAGTCTCTTTTCCGTTGCTTCAAATTCTTGGTCCTGAAACTAAGCAGCCAGAATCAGCCTGTCAAAACAAAACAAAAAAAGCTCCCCAAAAGGTCACTGATCATTGCTTAAAACAGTCAATCTCATGTAAAGAGTCCATTAACTAGTTGGAAAGAGGCTCTTAACTAATGCCTTTCCTTATTACCTGTTCCCTGGTTCATCAAGTTCTCTAACCCTAAAACACAAACATACTTTCCAACCCACCCTTCATCTGGCCCATAATCAAACACAGTAAGTGAAAGAAAAAATATATATATTATTGTACCCTGGACAACCCTTATTTTCATAAAAGTAGTAACTGGCTCCATGAATAGATTTTCCGCTTTTTCCAAGTTGGTACATACGGAACCATTATTGCTTTTGATGTTGACATAAATACTCACTATAAGGCCTAAAAGTATTCAGAAAATTACAGAATATACAGTGTTACAGACTAGGAAGAAAGTACTCTCCCAGGCTAGTTGTAATTAACAAAGATGACCAGCCAAAACCTTGGTGAGTGAACAAACCCAAAAAGGAGATTTATTTTATGCTAAAAACCAAGATGGGGGAGGAAGGTGGATGAGAGAAGCAGAAAGACATATGCTGGGGCCTGATTACAATGTTTCTAGAGTCTAATCCACTGCCAACAAGCCCTGGTTCTCTGGTTCTGCTTCACTGGGCAGAGGAACATGCAGCCCCGAGCACCAGAGCATGATCGGAGGGACCCAGGGTACAGAGTGTGCCAGGGAGCATAAGTCTCAAGGCAAGAAGGATGAAGACCCAGGTGAAGGCTGAGCAGACAGAGCAAATGGGGGTTGCCATCAACCTCTGAATTGATACAGCTTGATTCTGAGTGTCAAGCATTTTTAATTATACATGTTATACATAATTGATGCAGAAAAAGGAGAAAATGGAGCAAAAAGACAATAAAAATCATCCACATCTGCCACCCAAATAGGCACTACTTTTATTTGGAATACTTTGAATAATTATTTTATATACTTATAATGTATGTAAATAGGAGATTGAGACCATCCTGGCTAACATGGTGAAACCCCATCTCTACTAAAAATACAAAAAATTAGCCTGGCGTGGTGGCAACATCTGTAGTCCCAGCTACTCGGGAGGCTGAGGCAGGAGAATCTCTTAAACCTGGGAGGTGGAGGTTGCAGTGAGCCGAGATCATGCCACTGCACTCCTGCACTCCAACCTGGGTGACAGAGTGAGACTCCATCTCAAAAAACAAAAAAACAAAAAAAAACAAGAATTCCAGCAAGATGGCTGAATAGGAACAGCTCTGGTCTGCAGCTCCCAGCGAGACTGATGCAGAAGATGGGTGATTTCTGCATTTCCAACTGAGGTACCTGGTTCATCTCACTGGGACTGATTGGACAGTGGGTGCAGCCCACAGAGGGTGAGCCGAAGCAGAGTGGGGTGCTGCCTCACCCAGGAAGCTCAACGGGTCAGGGGATTTCCCTTTCCCAGCCAAGGGAAGCCATGAGAGACTGTACCAGAAGGAACAGTACACTCCTCCCCAGATACTGCACTTTTCCCATGGTCTTCGCAACCGGAAGACCAGGAGATTCCCTCTGGTGCCTGGCTCAGCAGGTTCCACGCCCACAGAGCCTAGCAAACTAAGATCCATTGGCTTGAAATTCTCGTGGCTAGCGCAGCAGTCTGAGATCGACTTGGGATGCTGGAGCTTGGCAGAGGGAGGGGTGTCTGCCATTGCTGAGGCTTCAGTAGGCGGTATTATGCTCACAGTGTAAACAAAGCCACTTGGAAGTTCGAACTGGGTGGAGCCCACCACAGCTCAGCAAGGCCAACTGTCTCTCTAGATTCCACCTCTGTGGGCAGGGCATCTCTGAACAAAAGGCAGCGGCCCCACTCAGGGACTTATAGATAAAGCCCCCATCTTCCTGGGACAGAGAACCTGGGGGAAGGCGCAGCTGTGGGCACAGCTTCAGCAGACTTAAACGTCCCTGCCTGACAGCTCTGAAGAGAGCAGTAGTTCTCCCAGCAGAGTGTTCGAGCTCTGATAACAGACAGACTGCCTCCTCAACTGGGTCCCTGACCCCATGTAGCCTGACTGGGAGATACCTCCCAGTAGGGGCTGACAGATACCTCATACAGGAGAGCTCTGGCTGGCATCTGGCAGGTGAACCTCTAGGACGAAGCTTCCAGAGGAAGGATCAGGCAGCAATATTTGCTGTTCCGCAGCCTCCGCTGGTGATACCTGGCAAACAAGGTCTGGAGAGGACCTCCAAGAAACTCCAAAAGACCTGCAGCTGAGGGGTCTGACTGTTAGAAGGAAAATTAACAAACAGAAAGGAATAGCATCAACATCAATAAAAAGGACATCCACACCAAAACCCCATCCATAGGTCACCAACATCAAAGACCAAAGGTAGATAAAACCACAAAGATGGGGAGAAACCAGCGCAGAAAGGCTAAAAATTCCAAAAACCAGACAGCTTCTTCTCCTACAAAGGATCACAACTCCTCATCAGCAAGGGAACAAAACTGGACAGAGAATGAGTTTGACAAATTGACAGAAGTAGGCTTCAGAAGGTGGGTAATAACAAACTCCTCCAAGCTAAAGGAGCATGTTCTAACCCAATGCAAGAAAGCTAAGAACCTTGAAAAAAGGTTGGACGAATTGCTAACTAGAATAACCAGTGTAGAGAAAAACATAAATGACCTGATGGAGCTGAAAAACGCAGCATAAGAACTTAGTGAAGCATACACAAGCTTCAATAGCCAAAGTGATCAAGCAGAAGAAAGGATATCAGTGATTGAAGACCAAATTAATGAAATAAAGCAAGAAGACAAGATTAGAGAAAAAAGAGTGAAAAGAAATGAAAAAACCCTCCAAGAAATATGGGACTATGTGAAAAGACCAAATCTACATTTGATTGGTGTACCTGAAAGTGACGGGGAGAATGGAACCAAGTTGGAAATCACTCTTCAGGATATTATCCAGAACTTCCCCAACATAGCAAGGCAGGCCAACATTCAAATTCAGGAAATACAGAGAACACCACAGAGATATTCCTCGAGAAGAGCAACCCCAAAACACAAAATCATCAGACTCACCAAGGTTGAAATGAAGGAAAAAATGTTAAAGGCAGCCAGAGAGAAAGGTCGGATTACCCACAAAGGGAAGCCCATCAGACTAACAGCAGATCTCTCAGCAGAAACCCTACAAGCCAGAAGGGAGTGGGGGCCAATATTCAACATTCTTAAAGAAAAGAATTTTCCACCCAGAATTTCATATCCAGCCAAACTAAGCTTCATAAGTGAAGAAGAAATAAAATTCTTTACAGACAAGCAAAGGCTGAGAGATTTTGTCATCACCAGGCCTGCCATAATTACAAGAGCTCCTGAAGGAAGCACTAAACATGGAAAGGAACAACCGGCATCAGCCACTGCAAAAACATGCCAAATTGTGAAGACCATCAACACTATGAAGAAACTGCATCAACTAACAGGCAAACTAACCAGCTAGCATCATAATGACAGGATCAAATTCACACATAACAATATTAACCTCAAATGTAAATGGGCTAAATGCCCCCAATTAAAAGACACAGACTGGCAATTGGATAAAGAGTCAAGATCCATCAGTGCACTGTATTCAGGAGACTCATCTCACATGCAAAGACACATATAGGCTCAAAATAAAGGGATGGAGGAAGATCTACCAAGCAAATGGAAAGCGAAAAAAAGCAGGGTTTGCAATCCTAGTCTCTGATAAAATAGATTTTAAACCAATAAAGATCAAAAGAGACAAAGAAGGCCATTACATAATGGTAACGGGATCAATCGACAAGAAGAGATAACTATCCTAACTATATATGCATCCAAACAGGAGCACCCAGATTCATAAAGCAAGTATTTAGAGACCTACAAAGAGACTTAGACTCCCACACAGCAATAGTGGGAGACTTTAACACCCCACTATCAATATTAGACAGATCAATGAGACAGAAAATTAACAAGGATATCCAGGACTTAAACTCAGCTCTGGACCAAGTGGACTTAATAGACATCTACAGAACTCTCCACTCCAAATCAATAGAATATACATTCTTCTCAGCACCACATCACACTTATTCCAAAATTGACCACATAGTTGGAAGTAAAACACTCTTCAGCAAATGTAAAAGAACAGAAATCACAATAAACTGTTTCTCAGACCACAGTGCAATCAAATTAGAACTCAGGATTAAGAAACTCACTCAAAACTGCACAGCTACATGGAAACTGAACAACCTGCTCCTGAATGACTACTGGGTAAATAACGAAATGAAGGCAGAAATAAAGATGTTCTTTGAAACCAATGAGAAAAAAGACACAACATACCAGAATCTCTGGGACACATTTAAAGCAGTGTGTAGAAGGAAATTTATAGCACTAAATGTCCACAAGAGAAAGCAGGAAAGATCTAAAATCGACACCCTAACATCACAATTAAAAGAACTAGAGAAGCAAGAGCAAACAAATTCAAAAGCTAGCAGAAGGCAAGAAATAACTAAAATCAGAGCAGAACTGAAAGAGATAGAGACACAAAAAACCCTTCAAAAAAAATCAATGAATGCAGGAGCTGGTTTTTTGAAAAGATCAATAAATAGATAGACTGCTAGCCAGACTAATAAAGAAGAAAAGAGACAAGAATCAAATAGACAGAATAAAAAATGATAAAGGGGATGTCACCACCAATTTCTGTGTATTGTCATTACACAGAAATACAAACTACCATCAGAGAATACTATGAACACCTCTACACAAATAAACTAGAAAATCTAGAAGAAATGGACAAATTCCTGGAAACATACACCCTCCCAAGACTAAACCAGGAAGAAGTCAAATCTCTAAATAGACCAATAACAGGCTCTGAAATTAAGGCAATAATTAATAGCCTACCAACCAAAAAAAGTCCAGGACCAGACAGATTCACAGCCGAATTCTACCAGAGTTATAAAGAGGAGCTGGTACCATTCCTTCTGAAACTATTCCAATCAATAGAAAAAGAGGGAATCCTCCCTTACTCATTTTATGAGGCCAGCATCATCCTGATACCAAAACCTAGCAGACACAACAAAAAAATAGAATTTTAGACCAATATCCCTGACGAACATCAACGTGAAAATTCTCAATAAAATACTGGCAAACCGAATCCAGTGGCACATCAAAAAGCTTATCCGCCATGATTAAGTTGGCTTCATCCCTTGGATGCAAGGCTGGTTCAACATATGCAAATCAATAAATGTAATCCATCACATAAACAGAACCAACAACAAAAACTACATTATCTTGATATTTGCAAAAAAGGCCTTTGACAAAATTTAGCAGCTCTTCATGCTAAAAATTCTCAATAAACTAGGTATTGATGAAACATATCTCAAAATAATAAGAGCTATTTATGACAAACCTACAGCCAATATCATACTGAATGAGCAAAAACTGGAAGCATTCCCTTTTAAAACTGGCACAAGACAAGGATGCCCTCTCTCACCACTCCTTTTCAACATAGTATTGGAAGTTCTGCCCAGGGCCATCAGGCAAAAGAAAGAAATAAAGGGTATTCAGTCAGGAAAACAGGAAGTCAAATTGTCTCCATTTGCAGATGACATAATTGTATATTTAGAAAACCCCATCATCTCAGCCCCAAATCTCCTTAAGCTGATAAGCAACTTCAGCAAAGTCTCAGGATACAAAATCAGTGTGCAAAAATCACAAGCATTCCTATACACCGATAACAGACAGAGAGCCAATTCGTGAGTGAACTCCCATTCACAATTGCTACAAAGAGAATAAAATACCTAGGAATCCAACTAACAAGGGGTGTGAAGGACCTCTTCAAGGAGAACTACAAACTGCTCAATGAAATAAAAGAGGACACAAACAAATGAAAGAACATTCCATGCTCATGGATAGGAAGGATCAATATCGTGAAAATGGCCATACAGCCCAAAGTAATTTATAGAGTCAATGCTATCCCCATCAAGCTACCACTGACTTTCTTCACAGAATTGGAAAAAACTACTTTAAATTGCATATGGAACCATAAAAGAGCCTGCATAGCCAAGACAATCCTAACCCAAAAGAATAAAGCTGGAGGCATCCTGCTACCTGACTTCAAACCATACTACAAGGCTACAGTAACCAAAACAGCATGGTACTGGTACCAAAACAGGTATACAGACAAATGGAACGGAACAGAGGCCTCAGAAATAACACCACACATCTACAACCATCTGATCTTTGACAAACCTGACAAAAACAAGCAAGGGAGGAAGGATTCCCTATTTAAATGGTGCTGGGAAAACTGGCTAGCCATATGGGGAAAGTTGAACCTGGATCCGTTCCTTACACCTTATACAAAAATTAACTCAAGATGGATAAAAGATTTAAATGTAAGACTTAAAACCATAAAAACCCTAGAAGAAAACCTAGGCAATACCATTCAGACATAGGCCTGGGCAAAGACTTCACGACTAAAACACCAAAAGCAATGGCAAGAAAAGCCAAAATAGACAAATGAGATCTAATTAAACTAAAGAGCTTCTGCACAGCAAAAGAAACTATCAGCAGAGTGAACAGGCAACCTACAGAATGGGATAAAATTTTTGAAATCTATCCATCTGACAAAGGGCTAATATCCAGAATCTACAAATAATTTATACAAATTTACAAGAAAAAAACAAACAACCCCATCAAAATGGGCCAAGGATATGGACAGACATTTCTCAAAAGAAGACATTTATGCAGCCAACAAACTTATAAAAAAATACTCATCATCACTGGTCATTAGAGAAATGCAAATCAAAACCTCAATGAGATACCATCTCACACCAGTTAGAATGGTGATCATTAAAAAGTCAGGAAACAACAGATGCTGGAGAGGATGTAGAGAAATAGAAACGCTTTTACACTGTTGGTGGGAGCGTAAATTAGTTCAACCATTGTGGAAGACAGTGTGGTGACTCCTCAAGGATCTAGAATTAGAAATACCATTTGATCCAGCAATCCCATTACTGGGTATATACCCAAAGGATTATAAATCATTCTACTGTAAAGGCACATGCACACGTATGTGTATTGCAGCACTATTCACAATAGCAAAGTCTTGATACCAACCCAAATGCCCATCAATGATAGACTGGATAAAGAAAATGTGGCACATATACACCATGGAATACTATGCAGCCATAAAAAGGATGAGTTCATGTCCTTTGCAGGGACATGGATGAAACTGGAAACCCATCATTCTCAGCAAAGTAACACAAGAAGAGAAAACCAAATGCTGCATGTTCTCACTCATAAGTGGGAGTTGAGCAATGAGAACACATGGACACAGGGAGGTGAACATCACACACCAGGGCCTGTCGGAGGGTGGAGGGGCTGGGGGAGGGGATAGCATTAGGAGAAATACTTAATGTAAATGACGAGTTGATGGGTGCAGCAAACCAACATGGCACATGTATACCTCTGTAACAAACCTGCATGATGTGCACATGTACCCCGAACTTAAAGTATAATAATAATAAACAAATAAAATTTAAAAACAAACAACAATTAAAAACAGAATTGCCATACAATCCAGCAATTCCACTTTCAGATATATACCCAAAAGAATTAAAAGCCAGGACTCAAACAAATGTTTGTACACCCATGTTCATAGACACATTATTAACAATAGCCCCAAAGAGGAAGCAACCCAAATGTTCATTAATAGATGAATGGATAGGCAAAATGTGGCACATAATGGATTACGCAGCCTTATAAAGGAAGGACATTCTGATATATACTACACAATAAATGAAGCCTGAAGACATTATGCTAAGTGAAAAAGCTAGTCACAAAACTACAAACATTGTATGATTCCACTTACGTGAGGTCCTTAGGGTAGTCAAACTCATAGACACAAAAAGTAGAATGGTGGTTGCCAGGGCCTGACGGAGAGCAGAAAGGGGAGTTAGTATTTAATGGGCACAGAGTTTCAGTATGGGAAGATGAAAAAGTTCTGGAGATGGATGGTGGTGATTAATACACAACAATGCGAATGGTGAACATACTTCTGACATAGTGAGAAATATTTGGTCTCTGCGCTCCCCATCATAAGGAATTTTAAGAAAACTTCAAATCTTGTAGGTGATGTTTCTTTTTGCACACTAATGAGATGACTAGTGTCTGCAGGCTCCTGGGCAGCCTCAGGTTGGAGGATGTTTGCAGAGAAGCCAAACTTGTGATTAGAGGGTTGGAACTTTCTGCCCCAACCCAAGCCACCCTTGACCTTAGGGGAAGGAATAGGGCCTGAAGATTGACTTAACCACCAATGGTTAATGATTATTGCCTATGCAATTATGCCTCCATTAAAACCCAAAAGGACAGTGTTCAGAGAGCCTCCAAGCTGGTGAACAAGAATGCATCCACAAGCCAAAGGTCCAGTAAGAGAGAAGCTTGGGAATCTCCCGGACCTTGCCCTACGTACCTCTTCATCTGGCTGTTCATCTGTATCTTTCAATATATCCTTTGTAATAAACTGCTAATCTAGTAAGTAGATTGGTTTTCTGAGTTCTGTGAGCCATTCTAGCAAAAGATCGAACCCAAGAGGGGGTTGGAACCTCTGATTTAAAGCAGGTTGGGTCAAAGTATGGGTGCCAACCAGGACGTGGAATTGGCATCTGAAGTGGGGGCTGTCTTATGGGATGGAGTCCTTAATCTGTGGGATCTGCTATCTCCAGGTAGATAGTTTCAGAACTGAGTTAAATTGCAGGACACCTAGGTGGTATCTGTAGAGAACTGGAGGACTACTCAGTGTGGAAAACCCCATACCTTTGATGTCAAAGTTTTCTCAAGTATTGAGAATAGACTAGACAGGAAAACAGTTTGTTTTTCCTATTGAGTACTTAATGACACAGAATTGTACCCTTAATAATGGTTAAAATGGTAAATTTTATGTTATGTACACTTAACCATAATTTAAAAAAAAATGAAACCGCGATCATTTAATCTATATTGCTCTTTTCACATAATGATACCATGGATGTATACTTATGTTAATAAATGTACTCTGTCTGATCATTTTAATGGTTGCAAAGTATTTGATTGTTTGAATGCACTGTAACTGACTTCACCAATCCCCTCTTGTTGGACAGTTACGTTGTCTCTGATTTCTCTCTCCCAAAAAGATGTGTGATTCAATCATGTGACATATCAGGTCACACTGCATTCCTGATGGTTCTTCCTTTGGACTCACTGTGGTCATTCACAAATATTTTGAAAATCTGACACTAAAATTAGAGAATATCATATTTCCTCACCATTAAAAATATTTATTTACCACTTGCATCTGTAATGAATTAATAACAAATATAATGATTAATACTTAATATATTTATAAAATGTATACCTTGAAACATCACAGAAGATAAAAAGTTAGACTTGTTACTAATCAAATGTGACTTGATGGGTAAAAATCAAAATATTTAGCAAGAGACTGATAACACTGAGAAATCAGAGACCAGTAGAACAAGGGACTAGTCAGACCAGTGCCCACCAGCTGACAATTAGCCCTGACCCCAAAGAAACCATTTAAACCAGGAGTATGTGGTTAAATGGGCATTCTTAAGTAAAACTTTCTGGAAAGGTCCTATATTTTGTTGGTTGCTCAAAGAAGGAGAGGCATATATGGGAAAAAAGAAGTCAGATTCTGGATGGATAAAAGTGTGATATCCCTGTGAGACCTCTAAGTGGACCTGTTAGATGAACTGGTCAAGAGCCTAGGAGAGAGATCTAGTGTCCAGATGTATACTTGGAGATCAGATCATTCAGTTGATAACTGAAATCCTAAAGAGCAGGGCTTCTCAGATTTTCCTAGGTACCACCTGCTAAATGGCGGATTCAGATTTGGCAGATTTGGGTGGAATCTGAAATTCACATTTCTGACAAGCTCACAAGTGACGCCTTCACTGGTCTACAGACCGTAAGAGTAGCAAGGTGCCTTGCAGGTAGGTGGAAGAAGAAAGAGATTAGGAAGGGTTAGGAAAAGAGGCGGTTGCAAGGAAATTGAGAAAGTGTGGCCAGAAAGATAAAGAGCAGTCCAGGAGAGCTTGGTGTCACTGAAGTCAAATAAGAAAGAAATGATACTATCAGAGGACTGTGTATGTCTTAGCTCAGGCTGCTATAACAAAATACCATAGGCTGGTGGCTTAAGCAATAGACATTTTTCTTACAGTTCTGGAGGTTGGATGTCTGAGAACAGAGTGCCAGCATGCTTGGGTTCTGGTGAAGGCACTCTTCCTGGCCTGTAGACAATGGCCCTCTGGCTGTGTGCTTGCTTACATGGCCCTTCTCAGAGCATGTATGGGGAGAGACAGATTTTTCTCTCTTCCTGTTCTCATCAGGACACTAATTTCATCATGAAGACTCCATCCTTGTGACTTCATCTAAACCTAATCACTTCTCAAAGGCCCCACTTCCAAATACCATCACATTGGGGGTGACAATGTTTCCTCAATGTTTACAGGGCTTAAACATAAATCTGGGTTGACATGACCCATCAATCCACAATAGTGCCCACTGTACTTTGTAGAGATGAAAAGGAGCGGGCCGGGTGCGCGGGTGCAGTGGCTCATGCCTGTAATCCCAGCACTTTGGGAGGCCAAGGCAGGGGGATCACCTGAGGTCAGGAGTTCGAGACCAGCCTGGCCAACATGGTGAAACCTCGTCTCTACTAAAAATACAAAAAATTAGCCAGTCATAGTGGCATGCACCTATAATCCCAGCTACTTGGGAGGCTGAGGCAGGAGAATTGCTTGAACCCAGGAGGCAGAGGTCACAGTGAGCCGAGATTTCACCACTGCACTTTAGCCTTGGCAACAGAGCAAGACTTCATCTCAAAAAAAAGAAGCAAAACAAAACAAAACAAAACAAAACAAAAAAAAAAGAAAAGAAAAGCGGCCTGTTAGGTACTGGGGAGCAATTTCAATGGATGATGATTACATGAGGACACATGGATTTCCCAAGACCACTTCTGTAATACATACAGCCTGTCAGGACTCTCAAATCCCTCCAGTGAAAAATCCCCCACATTGGGAATGTTAAGACCCTTGTTCAGCAGAATTAATGCGCTCCTAGGTTCACATGCAAAGAGCCTCCTGAAACAGGAATCCATGCCACAGACATTCATATCCTCGGTATTCATTCATTTGCTAAAACAGAGTCACCCAGGATATTGAAGTCAGTGTCGGAGGGCTCTATTCCCCTCCAGCCACCTGCTTTTTTTCTGTCAACAACGATCCATTTTGCCTCACTTTACAGGCACAGTAGAAGTTCCACTTGTCGAAACTGAAGATAAGTGCAGTTCCAGATGCTTCTTATCCCCGTTTTCCCACAAGAAGCTCAAGAAAAGGCATATGGTTTCCCAGGTCCAAGCTCCCAGGCTTGTTATTATAGTGATCTCATCAGAGTCACAGTGTAGAAAGCCCTGCTTGTGTTGCCCAAAGAAAACCAGGCTTGCAAGAGCACCCCCTCACTCTCCAGCCCAGAGCCATGGAATTCATAACTGTGGCCATGGTAAATCACTAAGTCATCATGAATTAACCACAGAAAGTCATCACAATCAGTACCATAACAGGAGAAAGAAATGGGATTTTTCACAATGAGCTTTCATTTTCAATTAAATAGCAAAACTAGAATTAAATAAACCAGTACTGCCTTGCAGAGCCAATTATATCTTATAAATATGGTCATTTGGCAAGTTATATCATCAGACCAAGCAGAACGCCAAAAACAAACTAACTCTACGTATATTATATAGTAAATCTTATGTATGCAGAATCTTAGCTGTGTGAAAAGGGCCTAAAAGCGAACAAAATCTAAGTCCATACAATTTACTCACAGGAACACACCGGTGTGTCCGACTCATTTACTCTTATTAGTTATTTGTTTTCTAAGACAGCAGCAGATTAGAATGTAAACTCCGAGAGGCAGGAATTTTTTGTTGAATTTGTTCACTGATGTATCCCTATCACCAAGAGCGGAACTTAAGTATCTATGGAATGGTGAGAGAATGAGCCCTGACGTGTCCTCTCTGATTTGGCTATGGTCCAGCCCCTCCCGATGATGTCACCACTCGGCTACTTCACACTGGAGGCCCCCAAAACGTCTGTCTTTGCAACCTCTGGTTTAAATGCTGTGACAGACCATTAACTTGAAAATAGAAACTCTAAATAACTGATGAGATTTCTTTTAGGAATGTAAATACTCTCTCTGTGATCTTGTTTCCACTGGTGATTTGGTTAGCACCATGTTTTTAACTGGCAAGGTAAATTGTTTCCTACTAGATTGCAAACTCCTTCAGACTTGGTATTAGGGCAAATTGGCTGAATTAAGCTGGAAAGTGAAATTTTAGCTCAGTTCCTAGGCTTTGCAACCTTTGCTCCCTCCAAACTTAACTCTATCTGGACAGGAATAGAGTGTCTGAGTAATTGTTTTTGATCCCCTGATGTCACCTGGAAGATTGTAAGCATTCAATAGCTTCCTTATTTTCAGTTTGAGTCCCAACACTTCTTTTTTGGACTAACGTTCTGTTTAAGAGTTTTGTGGCCCTACTGATATTTCCAGTAAGGGCCAGGAATCCACTAAATCCATAGTAAGCAATTGATTCTTGCTAAGGCCTAATTTAAGAAAAGTTCAAATGTTTAAAAGCCATGTTTACTTGTTTGTTTCACTTGAAATAAAAATAGTACCAGGCATGATGGCTCATACCTGTAATTCCAGCATTTTGGGAGGTTGAGGCAGGAGGATCGTTTGAGGCCAGGAGTTTGAGATTAGCCTGGGCAACGCAACAAGACTCCCATCTCTACAAAAAATTTTAAAAACTAGCCAGGTGCAATGGCATGTGCCTGTAATCCCACCTACTTAGGAGGATAAGGCAGGAGGATCCCTTGAGCCCAGGAGTTCAAGGCTGCAGTGAGCTATAATTGTGCCACTGTACTCCAGCGTGGGTGACAAGGTGAAACTCCATCTCAAAAGAATAAAAAATAAAAACAAAATAGTTTATTGAGTTCCATGGGGGGCAGGGCGACGGGACAGAATAGAAATGTACCTAGAATACCACCTTTTCTTTTTTTTTTAAGAGACAGGGTCTCACTCTGACACCCAGGCTGGAATGCAGTAGCACAATCATAGCTCACTGTAACCTCTCCTGGGCTCAGGCAATCCTCCTGCCTCAGCCTCCCAAGTAGGTAGGACTATAATCACATGCCACTTGCCCAGGTAATTAATTTTTTTTTTTGTAGAGACTGGGGCCACACTATGTTGCCCAGGCTAGTCTCAACTCCTAGACTCAAGGAATCCTCCTGCCTTGGCCTCCCAAACCCCTGGGGTTTCAAGCATGAGCCATTGCACCTGGCTCCAACTTTATTGAATAGAGGAATGTCATTACTTTTTAAATCAAGAAGTTCCTGTCTGGGCATCTCTGAGAAATAATGAAACAGGGGCGGTTGGGCAGTAACAACACAGCTGGGCAGTTTTCTGATTCTTGATATTTATATAAAACTTCACAGTTCACAGGAGGTAGCCACTATCTCAACAATCCTTCAAGAAAATGATTGCCATATTCCAACAGTCCTAGAATAACATACATTGTGAGTTATCCCCCTATTACAACTTTTCAAGAAAAAGGAAAAATTAAGAAACACTACTATATTAAATATATACACCTAAGATGCCAATCACATCTTATTTCAGAAACATTAAAATAAGGAGGGAAAAAAGGGCACCTTAGACTTGGGGAAAACAGACTAGGCTTCTAATCTTGAAGTGACTTGCTCAAAGTCACTCAAATGATTTACCAGCAGAACTAGGGTTAGGGCATCTTCATTCCTTTCATGCAACAGTAGCTGGGCACCAATAAATGCAGGCACAGGAAAAACAGAGATAAACAAGAGGCAGTCCCTGGGCCTCCATGAAGCCCTCCACTGGTAAGGAGCTCTGTTCTCTGCTTGGGAAGTCAGAACAGTGCAGGCAGAAAGCCAGAGAGCACAAATAGCTCTCCTTTCCCAAAAGGTTGGCTGCCAGGGGCACTCTGGCTTCTCTCTGTTGCTGTTAAACTTCAGTGTGTCCTGGTCCCCAGAGCCCAGCATGCCACAAGCCTCACCGAGGTAGGTCCTGGAGAAGACAAGTCGTGCCCTAACCCCAGCAGCTGTTCTGTCTGGCTGGTGACAGGCATAGCTGGTTTCCTTAGGCAATTTGTACATGCAAGGAAGTTGGCCTGGAAGCACACCAAACTGTTCACGGTGCAAGCCTAAGGTATGAGAGACAGTGGAGGGAGCAGTATCTCCTTTATTCCCTTCTCTAGAGCCTGGATTATTTTCGAGGTGATTTAAAAAATTCAAATCTGGAAAAAGAAACGAAGAAAAGCAAAGAACATGCAAGTTGGATTTAGGAAGATTAGGATTGAAATCTAGGCTTTCCATTGACTTGCTGTGTGACCTGGAACAAGTGACCTCCTGGGCCTCCATCTTCTACCTACTCATAGGGTTACTCTGAGGCCCAGCCCCCAAAGAGCACTCTCTTTCCACCTACCCAACAATCCTGGCCACAGTTTTGGTCACTGCTGGTGGACCCTTATGTGGCAGGGGTGGTCCCACTTTTTGCTTTTTCCTATTATCATATCTAACCCATTAGGTGTTTAAAATTACCTGGGGAAATGTACAGGCAGAAAACAAAATATAAATACTCAATATATATTATATACTAAATATACACTATGATCACAACTATGATATTTTAAAAATCTATTTAAGAATAGTGGTGGTTGCTACATAGCTTCAGCATTAGTATATCTTAGGGCAGGCAGGAACAGTTGGGGAGAAGTATTTTAGGAATTGTTGAAATAATTCTATGGGACATTCAGTTATATGAATGAAAGTCTTGTCACTTTCACTACAACTCCAAAACACATATCCCATATTGATACTGTGCCACAAAAATGGGAACAAAAGACAGTGGGACCTACTTGAAGAGGCATGGTGGGAGAAAGGTGAGGGTCAAAAAACTACGCATCGGGTACTATCCTCACTGCTGGGTGAATCATTTGTACACGAAACCCCACCAACACACAATTTACCCACGGAACAAACCTGCACATGTATCCCCTAAACCTAAAACAAAAGTTGAGAGAAGAAAAAAAAATACCCTATCAGCAAAAACTGGTATCTCCCACTTCGTTTTCCACGTCAATTTACTCATAAATTGTTTGAGAGTATAGCAGGGATCCCAGCGTGAGAACCGGAACTATGAATAAAAAACAGATGTGTCTGTAATATAGGCCCTCAGGGAGTGTATGTGCACACAGGATCAGGAAGCCTCTTGAGAGGGAACTCACACCAGGGCGAGGATGAATTCAGATGCACAAGTTTAGCTTCCCCCCGAGACTTTATGAACTAATAGGCAGGAATTGATGTAGGCTGGATTTCCTCAAGATCTAGTACAGGCTGAACCATGGAAACATCATTTTTATTGTCATTGCAGGGGGTGGGGGGGTCCGAGGAAAAGAATGTTACATGTCAACAGAATGACTCAGATTTTTTGGAAATCTTTTATAATCCCAGACATATAAAACATCATACAAAGGCCGGGTGCGGTGGCTCATGCCTGTAATCCCAGCACTTTGGGAGGCTGAGGCGGGCAGATCACAAGGTCAGGAGTTCAAGACCAGCCTGGCCAACATGGTGAAACCCTGTCTCTACTAAAAATACAAAAATTAGTTGGATGTGGTGGTGGGCGCCTGTAATCCCAGCTACTCGGGAGGCTGAGGCAAGAGAATTGCTTGAACCTGGGAGGTGGAGGTTGCAGTGAGCCGAGATCGCGCCACTACACTCCAGTCTCGGTGACAGAGCAAGACTCTGTCTGAAAAAAAAAAATCATACAAAGAGAAAAACGCATATTTCTCAAATAGCACTACAAGTATATCATTGTCACCATCCAAAAAGCTTCCACAAAACAATCAGGCTATCTATATAAAAAGAAGTTCAAACCCTTTGACCCACCTACCAAGGCTGCTTCAGGAAAACTATCATAACAATATAAACCAAAAATATGGAAAAAGATCATCTCACACAATGCTCAAAGCAAGGCAATTTGCAACATCAAAAAATTATGTCCCCTACCTTCTAACTTCAAACCTTACTGACAGGTCCCATGGTCACTAAGCCTTAATACAATACAAATTCAAGCTTGACTTCTTCATGAGGTTCAAATTAGCCAATACATATACTAGAACTCAATAAGCATTTGTAAATCCCTCAACTATTTCAAAAGCTTAAAAATGCAAAAAGCTTACATTTCAGAAAAGAACAGTAGAAACAAAAGCATCGAGTGTTTTAAAAGCACACGTACACTTGTGTTTTGGAAATCACCCATGCAGTTAGCCCTGAACTAGTTAGCAAATGACAATCCCTGGCAGATAGAAGAACTGTCCAAGGCCCCATGTCAGCTGCCATTACTGGGTCACATAGGCCAAAAAAAAAAAAAAAAAAAAAATGGAACCCCTGGGTGAAACTGAACCCATACCTGTTCTCTGCCCCTGCCCTTGAGCCTTAATGTTTCAGATCTCAGCTTAACTGAGATTGGAAATAAAGTACTTACTAGAGTGCCTGGATATGATCATTGCTTGTTATGTATTTAGTGGGTAATAAAGAGAATGCAGATAAGCCTCCAGCCAGTGCCTGGAACACGTACATGCTCAGTAAATGGAAGTATTCTTGTTATTGTCATTATTTTTACTATTAAATGAGTAAGTCACATTTGTATAGCTACTTAGAGTTTATGTAAAGTGCTTTCAATCCCTGCAATGGTCTTGTAAGAGAAAACTGAGGCTCATGGAAGGTGATATCTGTCCAAGTGCATGCTGCTATCAAATGCTGAAGTTGAGGACTTGATTGCCAGCCAAGGCTCCTTCCCCTTAGTAAGGCTGTCTGAATCTGACAATAATGCCTTGTCTCTGTCATAGACATTGTAGCTGATCCCATTGTAACTGATCCCAGTCCCAACAAAGCCAGTCCAAGTCGAGATTTCTGTTCCTTACACCCCAAAACGTGCTACCAACTACATTTTCTACGCATGGCACTTATGGATCAGACCTAGTACACATATTCTGTCACAGAGCAATAGCTCCATATCTTCATATGTGGGGCTTTCTAAGCTTACATCAGATCTAACTTTGATTTCCTAGAATCCTACACGGGCAGAGGAGAAAAAGAAACAATGATATGTACAGCTGTACAAAGGAAACACATATTGCTGGTTTCCCATCACATGGCTAAACTACAGAAGCAGAGGACACCACACTGAGTCCTACTGAAGCTTCCGGCCCCTCTCCCATGACCCTCACCCCCACATGTCATAACAAAGCTCCACATCTGGAAGCCTGATGATCTTCAGCTGCCTCTCTCTGTCCAGAGAGTGTCACACTGCACATTACAAGGAAAAATGAAAGAGGGAGGAGGAGGAAGAAGAGGAGGAGGTTTCATCAGGGCATGTAGTCTTTTCTTTCAATTGTAATCTGGCTGAAGCATCCAAAGTTACCTGTGATGTGTGTTGTTTTGCCAATTCATACTTCGAGTTATTTTTCAAACACTGCCATGCAAAATGTAAGCTATGCAACTGTCCTTTGACAATGTTCTATTGAGATCATCAAGTGGTCTTTATTGTATGCCGGAAACCAGCTATCCTTTTGTATCTTTCCATATTACTGCCCATACTTGGGTTGTGTCCTCCTGAAGTCCAGACCGTCCTTAGGACTACCAGGAACCATCCTCCAATGAGAGGCAGGGCCCAGTCAACATCTATCCAGCAGCTTTGCCATTCTCAGCGTCAAGTTTGACCACCTCATGTCCCATAGCATTCACCTCCAATCCATTTCAGCCATGTACTCCCAAAGCCACACTATCTACCTGTCATCACAAGGTGAAGCCAGCCCTCACTTCTGAAATCTAGAGTTGTATTGAGAATTAAGTATCCTTCTTGAATCCCAACTGTCTATCCTCCAAACATCTCCAACACCCTAACTCTTATTGCACCTGGTTTTCAACCCCCTTGAGCCCTTGGGTCCTTTGCTGCTCCGCTTTCCCCCATTCCATTAACTGGTCCTGCTCTCTTTTCCCTCTTCTTGGCTGCTAGACCTCATGGTCCATCACTTCAATTGCTCTCTTGCTAGAAGCACCTCTGTTTCAAACTACTAACCCCCAATTCTGCATCAATCTGAACACCCAAACATTTCCACTTCTACAACTGGTAAATCAAGTTTTACTAGAGGAAATCTCTCAATCCTGGAGATTAATGGCAAAACATAATTATGAATTCCAACAGAAACTAAGTGCTTGGTGTGACTCAGCAAAAATGTATTGCACTTGTTCCTTACATACACTGGTTATTTGAAGTCTTAAGTACTCCATGTGCCCCTCATTTTCAGCAGTACAGCATGATGGTACACAGCTTTGCATCCTGGTTCTGCCTCTTAGTCACTCTATAACCTCAGACAAGTGACTTAACCTCTCTGTACTTTAGTTACCTCAATTGTAAATTAAGACAATTCCATCTTCAAAAGGTTGTGGAAAGAATTTAGTGAGTTATCTATGTAAGGTATTTTAACAATGCTTGCGATATAGAAAGTGCCCAAAACACGTTAGCTATTATTTTGTAGACACAAGTGAGACCTTAGATGGGATTTTCCTCCACTTCCTTTCCTTTCTTTCAGTTTATTATTTTCCTCCATTTCCTATTTCTCCAATTTATTCATATCCACATGCATCCTTATCTTTTTTCTTCCTGTTTCAAAGAAAGACTTGTCACTCTATATTTAGTCTTGCCAGCTAGTATCCTTTACTACTTTTTCTGTATTTTGAACCTAGACCTTTTCACTGGGTTCTCCTTAGCCTATAAATTTACTCATGTGTCTCTTTTCTTGAAAGCAGGAAGGGAGAATGTGAGGGAGAAAAGAAGGGAAGAGAAGGAAAAAGCAGGGAAGAAAACTCCCCTTCAGCCTTACCACCCTTTCTGGCTCTCACGGATTAGAATCCTCCCTTCACAAACCCACCCTCTAAGGTCCTGTCTATACTGACAATCTCCTTGCTTCTCTTCCCATTCCCACCTCAATGGAAGGGAATTTGCCTCCTGTGTCCTCCACACACCACTCAGGCTGTTTTTGACATTATCACCAGTGACTCCTAATTGCCAGTGTTTACTCTGGCATTCTTAATTGGCCAGTCTCTGTAGAATGTGGCACTGTTGACCTCTCTGTCATGACTAAAACTTGTTTTTCCCTGAGTTTCCATGATAGGAGTCTCTACTATTTATCTTTCTTCCCTACCAACCCCTGCTTCTTAGTTTCTTTCGCTAGATTCTCTTCCTCTGACCACTCATTATATGTTGTGTCATCATTCCTTCATTCATTCATTCATTCAACAAGCATATTAAACTCTTACCATATGTCAGGTACCATGACAGCTGCTAGGACCAGTTAAGCTGAAGCACTACTCCAGGCACTATTCACAGTGCAGACACACTACACAGGCATATAAATGACCCCATCCAAAGTTGTGCAATGGCAGTGAAGCTATAAAGAATACATAGTCCTTGCCCTCTTGTTGGACCAGTGAAAAAGACCAAAACACAGCTAGATAATTAGAGAATAAAACAAAAGGTGCAATGACTGAGAGATGCCCTGGGTATCGCGTGAGCACAGTCTAGTTATTCCCCCAAGTTCTTCAACCTGTTTCATACCTCACTCTTTCCCTTTTCCTCAGGAAAAGACATCCAGACAAGTGATTTCAACTGAGCTTCTTAGCGGATGATACAATTTTGAATTTCTTGCCCAGAATATCAAACTTTCTACCACGCATTTCTACCACATGCCTTATAGGGCACCAAGCAACAGGAATATAAAAATAATAAATAAAAGTCTTACCATAAGGCATTAATCTTATTTCCCATCTGCACCATTTTAACAGACCCTCTGGGGCCTTTCTTCAAACCCCATTCAGAGTTAACTGCTTGAAACACAAGCTAATTTTATCACCAAATCCCCACTCCCACCCACTCCCTTGTTCAAAAACTCAAAGAAAAATCAAAACCCCTTGGTGGTGCGATGTACCAGACCCTGATGCTCTCGCTCCTGCCTGCTCCTCTAGCCTTCTCCAGACCCCTGGCCACACATATTCCCTACCTGTCAGCCATGCCACACCATCCGAAGATGAGCAGTGCTTTCAATTCCAAGGCAATTCCCACCTCAGCGCTTTTGCACCTGTTGCTCCTACTGCCTAGAAGGTTCAACCTGCGAATTTCTACAATTATTTAATGGTTTGACCAACCTCAGCAACGTTAAGTGCCTCTGGCTCTGCACGTCCATAGCAGATGATCACTTATGGGACTCATTCCAATGCTGTGATACTTTGTACACACACTTGTGTGTACAGAGGCCTTTCCTCAAAGGCTTTCCATCTCCTGGGAAGTATCTTCCCCAGAAAAAGGCAAGCCTTTGAGGAAGAACACTGTCTAACACATGGCAGGGCCTCAGTGCATGTTTGCCTGGGAAGAGGTAAACTCATGAAGTTATTTTCAGCATTGTTTAATCACAATATTTTTTGTTAGAGACTTTAAAGGTAATTAATTCTATTTCATCTAAATCAAATGTCCCTTCTACAGATTCTGCTTAAAGCTGTTAAAAGCTAAACTGAGGCCGGGAGCAGTGGCTCATACCTGTAATCCCAGCACTTTGGGAGGCTGAGGCGGGTGGATTGCCTGAACTCAGGAGTTTGCGACCAGCCTGGGCAACATGGTGAAACCCCGTCTCTACTAAAATACAAAAAAAAATTCCCTGGGCGTGGCGCCGTGCGCCTGTAGTCCCAGCTACTCAGGAGGCTGAGGCAGGAGAATTGTTTGAACCTGGGAGGCAGAAGTTGCCGTGGGCCGAGATCGTGCCACTGCACTCCAGCCTGGACGACAGAACGAGACACCATATCAAAAAAAAAAAAAAAAAAAAAAAAAGCTAAACTGAAATTTCACCTTAACAGAGCCTGCATTAGCAGTCAATTAGGTATACTATCATGCAAGAATTGACAAAGAAAGCAGAATATGCCAGGAACATTCTGAGATACCAATTTGGGTCCATCAGTTACTGAGCAAAACTTGAAATTTTAGTTAGATCTTCATCTGTAATAAAATCAGAATATATGGTTGTCTAAATTTGATCTTTTTTTGGATATGGAAGATAACGAAAGAAGTCAATCTCAGCAAGTAAGAAAGGAAGGAAAAAATGTATGGGGCTTAATTTTGATAAAATGACGAGTCCCTTAATCACTGGAACACTTCAATTATCCGGTAAAATAATTTTAACAAGTATCTTATTTATGAGTATTTATTTGTTCTTTATCTAGGTACTCTGCCTTTTTCTAAGAGTGTTTTTGAATTTTTTAATTAAGTTAGTAGCTGTTGCCAGGTGTTCCTCATGACTAAATTTACCAAAGAGCCGGCTGGCATTGAGGGTGGAGTCTGTGTCAATAAAACACAATTAGCTACAGACCCATGTGGAGTGGGGATTTGACCTAAACGTCCATGGGATCACACCCAAAACCTAGCAGTCACTATTCAAGTTCCACAAGGGAGAACTAAGATACGGGGGAAATGTCTGGATTTTTTAAGGTAAGAAACCGTGATATTTCTTAACAAATAATTTTATGTCAAAAAATGCCACAACAGCTGTCTGAATTGCCAAATTCACTAGGTAACCACCCAAGTTTATCCTCTCATTGTGCACTTCAACCTGCATGTAGAAGGGGCCCCAGTGATTTGTGCATGATGCAGGGTTTTCAAAGAAAGGATAAGCATCCTTGGCTGGTTTCCAAGCCCTGTCCTCTGACCCCATCATGCTACCCCCCGCCCCCACACACATATATACCCATGCATCAACTCTTTTGGCAGTTATGTACAACTGTACATGGGGGAATTATAAAATTAAAATATGAAATGCAAACTTCATTAACCAAAATGCACATTTGGTTAACGTGAATACAGAGAACGGCACTTAGCCCAGCATAGCTATTCCCCAGAATTTGATCTTTGACCCATCTCACCCCTCTCTAGAAACACTCTCCTGGGGAGACATATAACTTGAACTGAGTCCCTATACTGATAACTCCCAAGCTATAGTTCTTGCTGTAAATATCTAACTGCTTACTTGGTTATCTCTCCCCACAGGCATCAAAGTTATAAAGTTATTAAGACCGAAGATTTCCCAGGCTTTTCAACACAGATCCGCAGTCGTAGCTTGAAACAATTAGGAGCTGCCAGAATATAAAACAAATTTGGCAAGGAACAGGAAGCAGAAACTTAGAAACATGTGGCCCAATCACTTACAAACTTGTTTTGGCCAAGAAATCCTTTGTTCAAATAAAATCTTACTTGGAAACCAAATATGTGAAATCAAGCACAGGACACCTGCTCAGATAGCAGAAGGGGCCACCAGAAAGGAGCCCAAAGGTGGAAGCTGGACATCGGTCCGCCACCCATTGCCCTCATGCCCTGTAACACAGCTCCAGAGGTGCTCCCTGATACTCCCAGGAATGTGCAAAATACAGTTTAAAATCTACTGGCCAAAATCCATTAAGAAATCAAGAACAGAACACCTACTCAGATAGCAGAAGGGGCCACCAGAAAGGAGCCCAAAGCTGGAAGCTGGACATCGGTCTGCCACCCATTGCCCTCATGCCCTGTAACACAGCTCCAGAGGTGCTCCCTGATACTCCCAGGAATTTGCAAAATACAGTTTAAAATCTACTGGCCAAAATCCATTAAGATTTTTATTCGTGGATAAAAATTTATTTATTTTTATTACAAAATCAACAGTTAAAGTGTAATTTGGGGAAGCTAACTGGTAACAGTGGGTGAGAATCTCCATGAGCATTAAAACCAAATAAGAACAAATTAAAAAAAATAAGGGGCTGAGTAGGGCGTGGTGGCTCATGCCTGTAATCCCAGCACTTTGGGAGGCCGAGGTGGGCAGATCACTTGAGGTCAGAAGTTTGAGACCAGCCTGACCAACGTGGTGAAACCCCGTCTCTACTAAAAATACAAAAATTAGCCGGGTGTGGTGGCAGGTGCCTGTAATCCCAGCTACTCAGGAGGCTGAGGCAGGAGAATCGCTTGAACCCAGGAGGCAGAGGTTGCAGCAAGCCGAGATCATGCCATTGCACTCCAGTCTGGGTGAAAGAGTGAGACTCCACCTCAAAAAAAAAATAATAAAACTAAAAAAATAAGGGGCTGGCATGGTAGCTTACATCTATAATCTCAGCACTTTGGGAGGCTGAGGAGAGAGGATTGCTTGAGCTCAGGAGTTTAAGTCCAGCCTGGAAAAACATAGTAAGACTCCATTTCCATTTCTACAAAAAAAAAAAAAATTATTTATCTGGGCATGGTGGTGCCCACCTGTAGTTCCAGCTACTTTGGAGGCTGAAGCAGGACTGCCTGAGCCTAGTAGTTCAAGGCTGCAATGAACCATCATTGCACCACTGCACTCCAGCCTGGGTGACAGTGAGACCCCATCTCTTAAAAAAAAAAAGAGAGAGAGAGAGAGAGAAAAGAAAAAAAGAGGTGAATTCTAAGTAGGAGTAGTCTACTAGATAAATCTTCAGAATCTGTATCAGTCACCTCACCACATTTTCTCAAAAACAATAAATCCTAATGACAAGGAAAGCTCTAAAATTAATCATACTTTGTTGAAGTCACATAGGGCAAGGTTTAAACTCCTATCTTTCTTACGTAAGAGTCCTATATAATATCTTTCTTATATAAAAGTCTGGCCAGGCATGGTGGCTCATGCCTGTAGTCCTAGCAACTTGGGAGGTTGAGATGGGAGGATTGCTTGAGCCTGGGAGGTCGAGGCTGCAGTGGGCCCTGATAAGGCCACTGCACTCCAGCCTGGGTGACAAAGAGAGACCCTGTCCCAAGATAACCCTTTTTATTTAATTTGATGCAATTGAATAAAAACAGAAAGTTTTCAGAGAAAGTTTGAGTATTAAGGTTGACAACTCAATCAATTTAAAGAAACACATAATAAAGGACACATCTGTAAGTATTTTAGAGGAAACACATTATTGTTGTAGAGTAAAAGGCCAAATTATTGTCCTAAACAAAAATACCCATATGGTACCACAATCATCAAAAACTTGAAAATAGTTGGTTAATTAATTCATTGGTTGACAGTAATTATATCAATTGTGTTGATTTGGTTGTTTTGACATCTTATACACATAAGCCTAGTGAATTCCACAGAGAAGAAAAAAAATCACTGAACATTCATTCAACCATTGGGAAAAGCTTTCCATATAATGAATGGGCCCTCTATAGAGAAAATGCACACACAAAAAATTTCCATTATATGTTAAGAATATACCACACATGAAATTTTATGTTTCAATAAAATTTTTTTCTAAAGAGGCACAAAATTATTATTACATATGTCCATAGTTTCTCAACCCTGGCTGTACATGAGATTCACCAGAGAGATTTAAAAACTATCAATACCCTAGCCCTGTATCTCAGACCTACGGAATCAGAATTTTTCAGAGTAGGACATTGGTACCAGTTTTTTTCCTTCCTCAGGTGATTCTAATGTGTAGGTGGGGTTGAGAACCATTGATACAGAGTCTTCAATCAACTGATTTATGGATACTAGGTTGTCAGGTGTCAACCTGAACAGACCATTTATTTTTTATATCATTTATGCCTGTGAGTTTGGGCTACCCCTATTCATAACTATTTAATAATGATGATTAAGGCTGGTTTTTGATAGTTGTCTGGTTGAACTATCACTGCCTGAAGAAGCAGCATTCTGTTCTCCCTTATGAGATTTAACTTTGTCGTGAGTTTTTATTTTTTTGGTGGTTCCTTCGGGGGCTATGAATGTGGTTGCTTTGAAGTTACAGGTTCAGAGAGCTGAAATTTCTGTTTCAAGAAATACATCTGGTTTCAGTAGATAAATATGAACTCACTCCCATGGAAAGTATTCCATCAAGCAAAGTGGAATCCCAAAATAAGTAATTATGGCCCTAATTTATAATATGTCAAATAAACCACAAAATGATTAATTGTGCTCAGGAATATTTTGAAAAAAACATAGTCTACAAATGATTTGGGTGATAATTTTTAAGTATTGGTATAGTTAACACTTTATGTAGCTACTTTGTTTACATATATGAACCACCGAGCCAGAAGACGGTGTTAGGGGGAAACAGTTGCTGATTTTTATGGTGATTCAGAAGTTGGGAAACTGAGTCCCAATTTCCTTTACAGTCTTTTTTTTTTTTTTTTTTGAGACAGTCTCTCTCTGTTGCCCAGGCTGGAGTGCAGTGGCACAATCTCGGCTCACTGCAACCTACACCTCCCAGGTTCAAGCCATCCTCCTGCCTCAGCCCCCCTAGTAGCTGGGATTACAGGCACGTGCCACCACGCCCAGCTAATTTTTGTATTTTTAGTAGAGACGGGGTTTCGCCATGTTGGCCACGCTAGTCTCGAACTCCTGACCTCAGGTGATCCACCCGCCTCAACCTCCCAAAGTGCTGGAATTACAGGCATGAGCCACTGCACCCGGCCTCCTTTACAGTCTTAAGTGACTAATGCTATATCTATAAGAGGCTCATAGACATGGAATTTCTCTCTAGATACAGAAATGAGTTATTTTCAAAATATACAGGGTACCCTCAGAAATGGAAACATTAGAAGCTCTCAGCAGTAAAGTAATCAGAAGTCAGGAAAAGCAGAGTCAAAAAGTTGATACAACATATTTTGAACATTTTGTTTCAATTCCTTTCATAAACAAAAAATTCATTCACTAATCTTTGGATATTGGGTCATGATTGGAGTTCTATGTTATTTTTCTTGGTTAATCCACATCCAGATTTCCTGCTTCCATTTCTTAAAGAGGATCAGGACCTTATTGGAGCTTGTGAAAAAACCTGAATGCAAAATCATTCTAGAAATTTTTACTGTACTCTTCAAATCTCTTATCACTATGCCACACCTAAGTACTCATCCCTCTTCCTTTTGTAATTTGCTTGTTCATGTTGCTTTTTAAAAAGCTTTATAGTCCTTTTATAAATTGAGATAAAATTCACATAAACTTCACTATTTTAATACTTTTAAAATGTAAAATTTGGTGGTTTTTTTTTTTCTTTTTTTTCTGAGACGGAGTCTCGCTCTGTTGCCCAGGCTGGAGTGCAGTGGCGGGATCTTGGCTCACTGCAAGCTCCGCCTCCTGGGTTCATGCCATTCTCCTGCCTCAGCCTCCCGAGTAGCTGGGACTACAGGCGCCTACCACCACGCCCGGCTAATTTTTTGTACTTTAGTACTAGAGACGGGGTTTCACCGTGTTAGCCAGGATGCTCTCGATCTCCCGACCTTGTGATTTGCCCGCCCCGGCCTCCCAAAGTGCTGGGATTACAGGTGTGAGCCACGGCGCCCGGCTGGTGGTTTTCATATATTTACAATGTTGTGCAACCACCACCCCATTATCTAATTCCAGAACATAGCCGTCACCCCAAAAAGGAACCTTGCATCCATCATCAGTCACTCTCTATTTCCCCTACCCCACTTCCCTGGCAATCACTAATCCACTTTTTGTTCATATGCATTTGCTTATTATGGACATTTCATATAAATCATACAACATGTGGTCTTTGTATCTGGCTTCTTTCACTTAGCATAATGTTTTCAAGGTTCATCCATGTCGCAGCATGTGTTGATATATTTTTTTTAACATTACTTACTTTTATGGGTCCATATAGCGATCAACTTAGTTTTCACAGAAATACCATTCTTTGTTTAGCATTCATATTACATCGGTTTAGGCAATATTTCATTAAATCACAAAATTACAATAGCATCCTGGCACTTTGGGAGGCCAAGGCAGGCAGATCACCTGAGGTCAGGAGTTCGAGACCAGCCTTGCCAACATGGTGATATCCTGTCTCTACTAAAAAAAAAAAAAGTACAAAAATTAGCCAGGCATGGTGGTGGATGCCTGTAATCCCAGCTACTCAGGAGGCTGAGGTGGGAAAATTACTTGAACCAGGGAGGCGGATGTTGCAGTGAGTCGAAATACACCACTGCACTCCAGCCTGGGTGACAGAGCAAGGCTCTGTCTCAAAGAAAAAAACAAAAATACAATAGCAAAGTACAACTGGCATAAACTGGACTGTAACCAAACACCGCTGTAAGCATGCACCTGACCTAGTAACAGCCAAGTATACAAATTTATTAAGATGATAGCTATTTCCCACAGCGGTCTCTGTGTCTGAGCAACCACCAGGATGTGGTTCAGAGGAGGAGAGCATTGGTTAATCCAATGAGTTGTTTCAGTGTTGGGCAGTATTTCATTAAGCAGAACAGAGTCACATGCATGTAGAGGGGCAGAGAGGTGATAAGTGTCTATTATATGACCCAACACAGCCTCAACTGGTTCCCAAGAGGAAGTTCTCTACGTGTCTTCAAAAAGAGGCAAGGATGTGCTGCCATAAAGATAGGTATATCCTCTGCCTCTATAAAAGCTTTACCGTGCTTTACCATCTTTCAAGAAGCAACTCCAATGGGCCCTCCTCTACAAAGTCTTCCCTAACCCTCAAATCTTCACAGTGCCTGCCTGCTCTCTCTTCTTCCTTTTAATTCCCAAAGTACTTATGCATCTCTTATGGTAGTTTGAATCGGTATGATAGCTAGCCATACAATGTCCTCTCTTCCATACCAGGATGTAAGCTGCATCAGAGGCATGTTCTGTGTCTTTACACGTCCTGCTGTCACCAGCACCAGAAAAGAGATGCTCAAAACACAGTCTTCACACAAATCCTTATACAAATCTTTTAATAAGAAGTAGAAGTTCAATAAATATTCATTAAATTAATAAATGAATGAGCACACTAATTAAATAATTAATTAATTTCATGCAACATCTTACCTGGCTACAGCAATTAACCCTACTCGTCAATGCGCGGTAAATGAAGGAAGGATATGTATCTGATGGGGCACAGTGGTGGGTGAATGAAGAAAAAAAAATCAGCTACTCCAGGTGCCTAGCATGCATCAGAAATTGTGACTGTTCCCCAAATGTTCAACAGACACCACCTTCAAACAGGACATTGTTAGATAATGACACTTTCTGATGTCCTTTGATGTAGAGCACATTAAAAATATTATCAGAGGGAAAATCTTTCTGTTCAAAATCCCCCAACCTCTTCAACTGTGTATTTAGTTTTCATCAATTAAATTATTATATCATTTCAATGGGTGACTTTTTATATACACTGGAAAGGTACTCATAAGAAAATAGCTTCCAAATTGGCAATTTTTAAAAGCAAAGCAACTGGTTAGGTGAGGAATGCATAAACAACCCCAAAAGCGGCACTGAATACTTTTCTTTGGCTGTATACGACTGAAAAACTGCCAAGTTCATTTCGATAAGCCTTTGTTAAAAACAATAAACATGCCTGAGCTTGCAAACTATGCTGTTTTGAAGAAAAAGCAATTGAGAGAATTAGAAAATGCTTAAAACTGGAATGTCTAATAGTCTATGAATATGGAGGAAAGTGGGGGACAAAATGTAAAGTGAGACAAAATAACAACAGAACACCATCTTCATAAATAAATAAAAAGCAACATCTTATAAACTAATTTAATTAGTCTCCAATACTAACATGGTACCACTAACACTCTTAAGAAAACAAATCATCCCGTGCTTCAAGTTTAGTCACCAAGGTGATCTCCCTGCAATAAAGGAAATGTAATTTCATTGACTCCAAATGAACATATATTAAATAACCAAATGTGGGAACTGCAATTCACTTACAGTAAAATGTCAGCTCATAAAAGTCAAAGTAACTTCACCTGAATTTGTTTTTTTGTTGTTGTTGTTGTCGTTTTTAGTTTTTTTTTTTTCCATGATTATAAGATTCTCAGAATTGCAGGATTGGAAGGAAGATAGTTTGGATCACTTATGTTTATTTTCCTGCTTAGGTAAAACTGAAATTCTCTTGTACCTGCCTAAGAAATCCTGGAAAAATTCTAGTGAATAAATTGCAACTTGAGCTCTATAGGATCAAAGTTCTTTGTTTTGTTCATTGACATATCCCAAATGCCCAGAACAGCACTAGGCATACAGTAGGCACTCAATAAATATCTGCTCAATTGAACTAAATTGAAAAATATGCAGTGCAATGCAATGTTAAATAAGTCACTTTGAAACTCCTTTCTTAGCTTTGTTTTGGTCATAGTATTAATCACAATAAACAAACAGTCCTCATATAAAACACTTCAACACTATAATTCATGTTTTTACTTCTGATCGATCATTACCATAGAGGGTGCTGAGAATCAGAAAAGACTCCAAGGAAAGATGGGGGTAGAGTTACTCCCATCTATTTGGACTAATTTTCTTCTTCTGGGCATTCACCTGAGAAGTATCTGTATATCCATAATATAAAAATAATTTAAAATATTACTTAAAATTAAAGGTTTGCACCTTTAAAAATTGTGCCACAAAAGCAATTTGATTAAATCAACCTCTCATCTATTTCAGAATCCCATCAGTTAAAAAAAAAAAACATAAAAAATAAGAACAGGAAAATGATGTGATTAGGTGATGCTAGTCATATTATTTTTGCTCAAAATGCCTAGAGGCAATATGCCTTGGAAAACTGAGTTAGGTGGGAATGAGAAGATCTGGATTCTAGTGTTGATTCCATCACCAGTTAACAGTATGAATTCAGCCAATCCTTGCCAATCTGGATCTGAGCTTCCTGGGCTGTAACGTGAAGAGTTTGAATTTAGTAGATGGTCTCCAAAGCCTTTCAGTTTCAAAGTTTCTCTAAACCCTGTAATTATAAGTGACTAAATCCAGTTCACCTAATTACTACCACTACTCTTTTACATCCTTCATTTCTTCAGCAAACATCCGGTCACCTTGGGGGCGCAGGGGGTGGAGGATGTCAAACACCATTAGCCACAGTTTGGCACGACATTTATGGAGGGGGAGCGACAAACAATGCAAGGGCAGCTAGCTGATGATTTTAACTGTTAGCGAGCTTACACCTGTGGAGCGAATGTGTTTCTGAATTTGAAAGGCCGGAAGATTTTCCCCCTGGGCTAAGCTGGTGACGCCGCGGGAGTGCCTAGCTCTGAGCAAAGAACCAGGTAGGATGAACTAATTAGAGGCTCTTCAAAAGGAGAGTGTTTAACCAGTTTCCTGGCAGGACTCACCTGACTAGACATTTTTAAAAATTATGGCCAGGCACGGTGGCTCACGCCTGTAATCCCATCACTTTGGGAGGCTAAAGCGGGCAGATCGCTTGAGCCCAGGAGCTCGAGAGCAAACCGGCCAATATGTCGAAATCCTGTATCTGCAAAAAAAAAAAAAAAAAAAAAAAAAAATCCAAAAATTAGCCGGGCGTGGTGGCGCGCACCTTTAGTCCCAGCTACTCCAGATGCTGGGGAGGGAGGATCGTTGGAGCCGGGGAGGCGGAGGTTGCAATGAGCTGAGATCGCGCCACTGCACTCCAGCCTGGGCGACAGAGCGAGACCTTGTCTCTAAATAAATAAATAGTATAAGAGGTTTAGAATGCTGATGTGTGAAAACGGAAGACTAACCAAATAGCCCCAGGACTTACTGAAATTGTGCTTCAAAATTTTGTTACGAACGCTTTTCCGAGTCCACAATACAGGTATCACTGGTTTATTTGTGGACAAGAAGCAACTGAGAAATTGAGTTCAATCCACTGAAAGCCGGTGTGTTTTTAATATAGCACACACGGGAAATAAATATTATTGTCTGAGGTGGGGGACGGGGAGAGATTTTTAAAATGTACTATAAACATAAAATCCAGAAGAAAGATGGTCTCTATTCCACCGAGAAGTCTGCATTTGAAAACCACAAGAGATGGAGATCAAAGCCGCTCGTTCTCCAGCCACCTGCCCAAAAACTCGGCCGCAGCGCAGACCCAACCCAGACAGGGCAAGTGAGCACGTGTCTCCCTCCCAACCCAAGCTGCGCGCCGACGCACCCAAGTTAGGGTCCCAGGCTCCCGGCGCGGGATGGGCGCTAGGGCAGCGGAGAATGGAGGGTCCCCGTCCTCCTCCAGCTCCAACGACAGCGCCAGCGCCCCGCCGTCCCGCCGCCCTTCCTTGAAGGATGCCCGTGTCACCTGAGCCACCGCGCCCTCTGCACAACCGTGTCAGGGAGAGGGAAGAGGGGGAGCCGAGGAAGCTTCTTGGCCAGGGCGCTGGGGATCCGGGAGCGGGGGCCGCCGGCGAGACTGAGCCCGGGACAGCCCAGAGCTCCAGCGCTCCAGCGCTCTGCAGCCCGCCCAGAGCGCGCAGACCACCCCCATGCCCCGCCCGCCCTCCTGCCACACCCGCCCCCAGCCCGGCCCCGCCGCCTCCTCACCTCGCCGGGACCACTGCAGCCCTGGCGGTAGCGCGCGGACATGCCCCCGGGGCGCACCCGCCGAGCCGCGTCCCTGCGCAGTGGCCCCTTCCCGGGCCCCAGGCTGCGCGATCCGCGCTTCGGTGGGGCGGGGAGCGGACTGGGCGGAGGCGCCGGCGAGGCTGGGGCCGGGGGCCTAGCTGGCAACGCCGGGAGAGGGAAGCGTAGCGCGGAAAATCCCAGTGCTCGGCCTTCGAAATGCACCGGCTCATTCAGCCCCGCCAGCTCCGCCGGGGACTCTGCCTGGCCGGCAAAGAGGATTTAGCGCGGGGATCCGCTCTAAGTACTGTGGCTTGGCTAGGGGCGAGGGGCGCAGCGGAGGAGGGACGTCTCGCGGTTATGTAATGCACCGGCTTTCTGTGTCCCCAGCCAAACCGCTCTAGGACTGCCGGACCCTCCCCGGGAAGAGCCATGACCCCTGACCTCGGCAAGCCGAGGGGAGCTCGGTGTTCCCAAAAAGAACTTTTCCCCTCAGGGTCAAAGAGCAAGATCTCGAGAAAAAATACAAGGCCTCCTTTAGGTGTATCTGGCAGGGATCCGGACCCTGCTAGCCAATCCTTCCCATTTCACAGCACAGGAAACTGAAGCTCCAGAATGCTAGTGAAAAGCGTTATCTCTTGGAGTCAAAAGGACCTGGGTTCAACGCATCTGAAAATCTCATAACCTTGGGCAATTTAACTCTCTGAGCCTCACTTTTGCTTGTAAAACAAAGGATGATAGCGCCCACTTCATGTTGTTGCTGCGAGTATGAAATGAGTGAGGTGTAGGCGCCCGGTACATAATACAATTCCCCAAACGTTGACTCAAAGCCTGAAAAGGGAGCTGCCAGGACGTACCCCACGTAGGACAGGTTCCAGGCGAACTTTCTGTAAAGTCCTCTCCTTGTCAGAAGCAAGGCCTCTGAACTGACAAGGTCTGGTTCCAATATCTTGGAGCCTACGTCCTCACTTCTTCAAGAGTGGCCCGTAGACCAACAGCGAGGTCATCACCTGGGTGCTTGTTAAAAATGCGGAATCTCAGGCCCAACCGCGGATCAGAATCTGCATTTTTTGCAAGATTCCCTGGTGATTTCGCTGTATGTCAAAATTTCAAAATGAATTAGGCTTTTTGGAATTATTATTATTATTATTTTTGAGAAGCAGTCTCGCTCTGTCGCCCAGGCTGGAGTGCAGTGGTGCGATTTTGGCTCACTGCAACCTCCGCCTCCCTAGTTCAAACGATTCTCCTGCCTCAGCTTCCGGAGTAGCTGGGATTACGGGCGCGTGCCACCACGCCCAGCTAATTTTTTGTATCTTTGGTAGAGACGGGATTTCACCATGTTGGCCAGGCTGATCTCGAACTCCTGACCTCATGATCTGCCCGACAAAGAGTTACTGATGAACAGTAGGGAGCATTTGCCACGCAGCAAGGCACCGTAGGTATGTTTTTTTTTTTTTTTTTTTTGGGAAGGAGTCTCGTTTTGTTTGTTTTCTAAAGAAGGGATTTCACTATGTCGCTAAGGCTAGAGTGCTGTGGTGCGATCATAGCTCATTGCAGTCTCGAACTCCTAGGCTCAAGGGATCCTCCTGCCTCAGCCTCCCCAAGCACTGGGATTACAGGCTTGAGCCACTGTGCAAGCCAGGGGTTTTTTTAAATAGTCTAGTATAGTCCTTTCTCATTTTACCCTCTGGCTATTTTTAGTCATCCCCCTCCTCTCAGTTTCCTGCCCTTTAACTATAAATCTGAATTTAAGTCCTATTTTCACTTGCAAAAAACCCTAGGTTAGATTTAAGTGATGATTAGTGAATAAATGTTCAAAACTCACAAAAGAAAGAACAAATACAGCTTGTAAAAGAATTCATTAGCATTGAAAATGAACCTGTAAATGTAGAGGCTGCCATGAGTGAGCCCTGACCTCTCAGCCGTGAAGGTCTTTAGGTTAAAGGCTTGAATACCTTTGAGTTTCAGAAAAATGCTTCTTTCAGTTAAACATTGCTTTGGGTGGCAAATAAGTCTCACTTTCCATTTAAATAATGTAGGACAACAGTTTTTAAAGTTTTGGAGACTAGGACACCGCACAAGGCTTCCTTTCGTCTAAGTCACCACTTACAGGGGGCTCTAGCAAAGACCAAAGCTAATACTGTGTTTATTCTATTCAATGCTGTGTCACTGATGTTGTTGTTTCATTAGAAGTTCAGATTTTGTGTGTCTGATTCTATCTCTGGCAGGATGATTTTCATCCTTTACGAGTTCAGTAACTGTGGGTTGATGATGGTGATGGTGAGTGCAATGCGTATAGGCAGTGCCGGATACAGACGGGTCACTTCTGTGTGCCTACCCCTTTGGGGTTCCACGCTCAAGACCTGACATAGCTGCTGACAGGCAGCATGGAAGTGGAGAAAGGGAGATGCACAAAGCAAAACAATCTCCTTTCACTGAGGCTGGAGGATTGGGGGTGGAGAATGTTGGACTGCTATCGCTGTGCAGAAGAAAAGCAAAGCAAAGGAACCCTAGAATCCAACCTAGGAGGAAAGGGAAGGAGCAACATTTCTTCCAAATAGCACTGTCCAACAGAATTTTCTACAGTGATGGAAATGTGCTATGTTTGCACAGTCCCAACACGGCTATAAAATATGGCTATTTACATTTTAGTTAATTAATTATAATCGTAATTAAAATTGAGGTTTCTTGTGTGTGTTTTGCTTTTTTCTTTTTTACTACTAGTCTGTTGCACTAATCACCTTTCAAGTGCTTCACTCCAAGATGTGGCTAATGTCTACCATACTGGATAGCACTCAAAACGTTTTCTTCATCACAGAAAGTTCTACTGGACAGTGACGCTTAGAGGCCAGGATTTTGGTAAAGAAATGAGCCCAGATACCCAGCTTTTCCAAGTCATAGTCAGAACTTCATCTGTCTAAAAGCAAGTAATAGAATGAAAATTAAACCTACATCGAGGCTTTGTGATAATCAAAATGAGTTAATCTATAGAATGTATTTAATTCAATGCCTTGCATATTATACATGTGTAAAAAATATTAATCCTTATTAGTATTAATAGTCTTTTACCTTAAAAATATTGGGGAATGACAAAGATTTTTTTCCTTGGCCAAACTTTAGTCAGGCTCCTGAACTTTCTCCTAAGACCATGTGTGTATTTCCTTGTAAATTCCAGTTTATCAAAGAACCCGGCAAAATCAGTTTGGCAATAACGTCCCTTCCCATTGACAACTGATCACCCAAGGGTTCCTCATCCTCCACTGTCCTCCAGGTGATATCTAATCACCTTGGCCTGTCTTTAGTAAGAATCCTGTTAGGTCGATTTAACTAGAGTCCCATATCCTGTTTCTTGGCTATAAATTCCGATTTTCCTCTGCTGTATTCATAGTGGAGCCCCATCTCTCTACCCTACTGCAAGTCTTCGTTGTAGTGGTCCCTGTATCTGTCTCAATGGTCCTGAATAGTCTTCTTTACCATGCTGTAACAAGTGACATTGAATATTTTTTTTCTTTAATAGGGACATGGCATTAATGGTACATCATTATTAGTTAAGTAACCTTTCGCTGATGTGGTCAGCTGATCTGGTACCTCCACATGCATTAATAGTTGTGTTCTAACTTTCTCCCTTCCTCTTCTTCCCTACTCAGAATTGAGTACTATTTGTACTTTTCTGGCCTGGAGGCACAGAATATTTTGTCAAATCCCTACCATTTGTAGCCAATAAATAACACGTGTGTTAACTAAAATCCTATTGCACCATGGTTCAGTGGAATTAATTTTCAGATAGGATTCTGAGAAGCCTGACACCTTAGGGTACATCCATTATGAAAAGAATTGTTTGTTCCTGTTATTTGGTCAAACAAGAATGTGTGGACTCAGTACAGAAAAAAAGGGAACATTGGCTACAGATAAGTAATATTTGGGGTGTCCAGGTCAAGATAGAAGCTACTGGAAGGTTGGGGGTTGAGGATGAAACCTTAAGGCTTTTGCCTAAATAGAATTTGAAATTTTGTTCTCATGACTAATTAAGATTTTAGGACTAAATACAAACAGCATAAATAAGATGCAAGTATTTTACGTAGTCAGCTGTACAGATTAGGGCAATACATGGACAAGGAAATAGTGAAATTCTTCCTTAGACACCAAGAAACAAATTTTTCTTTCTTTCTTTCTTTCTTTCTTTCTTTCTTTCTTTCTTTCTTTCTTTCTTTTTTCTTTTTTTCTTTCTTTCATTACTTCCTTCTTTCTCTTTCTTTCTTCTTTCTTTCTTTCTCTCTTTCTTTCTTTCTTTTCTCTCACCCTTCCTTCCTTCTTTCCTTCCTTCCTTCCTTTCTTTTCTCTGGCTCTCTCTTTTTTCTTCCTTTCCTTCTTTCTTTGCCTCTTTTTCTTTCTTTCTTTCTTCTTTTGTTGCTTCTGAGACAGAGCCTCACTCTGTCACCCAGGTTGGAGTGCAGTGGCATCGTCACAGTTCACTGCAGCCTTGATTACCTAGGTTCAAGAGATCCTCCCACCTCAGCCTCCCAAGTAGCTGGGACTACAGCCACCCACCACCATGCCTGGCTAGTTTTTGTATTTTTTGTAGGGACAGAGTTTTGCCATGTTGCCCAGGCTGGTCTCAAACTTGTGGGCTCAAGCGATCCTCCCGCCTTGGCCTCCCAAAGTGCTGGGACCACAGCCGTGAGCCACCATGCCCAGCCTAGAGTCCACCTTCTTTATCATCTTTTTTTGTTCCTCTTTCACCAGTCCACTCTTTTCTATGAGCACTTTCTTAGACTTTAGCCCCTATTTCCACTGTCCTTTCTTAATGTATATCTCCATCCCAGCCTCATGACTGTAGCTAATACCTGCTGTCAACGGCAGTGCGTTTCCAGTTCTGACCTCCCTCTGAACTCCAATTCTTGTTGCCAGATAGCCAGTGAATATTTTCACTTGCATTCTCCCTACACCATCACTTGGAGATTTTAAAATATCAGGAACTCAAGTCATCACTACAATCTGCTCTTAGATCCCAACAACTCTCTTCTCCGATGTCACTTAGTCTCTGGAGCTAACATTCTCTCATTTACTATGACTCAAAGCTATGTCATCATTTTAACCCATTTATCTTTCTGGAGTCATGGTATAACTGAAAGGCATTGAATTTGAAATCAGAAAACCGAAGTAAAAAATCTCATTTCTACCACTTCTTACCAAGACAAACTAAGCAAATTTCTTTTTTTTTTTTCCCTTTTTTTTTTTGACAAGGAGTCTCACTCTATTGCCCAGGCTGGAGTGCAGTTGTACAATCTCGGCTCAATTTAAGCTCTGCCTCCTGGGTTCATGACATTCTCCTGCCTCAGCCTCCTGAGTAGCTGGGACTATAGGTGCCCACCACCACGCCAGGCTAATTTTTTTTTTTGTATTTTTAGTAGAGAGGGGGTTTCACTGTGTTAGCCAGGATGGTCTCGATCTCCTGACCTCGTGATCCGCCCGCCTCGGCCTCCCAAAGTGCTGGGATTACAGGCGTGAGCCACCACGCCTGGCTGCAAATTTCTTAACATCCCACCTCTCGAGCCTCAGATTTCTCATCTATAAAATAAAATCACCAGTACTATTCAAAAAACATGGATTGAGGATGGGTATGGTGGCTCATGCCTGTAATCCAACATTTTGGGAGGCTAAGACCAGAGGATCACTTGAGGCCAGGAGTTCTAGACCAGCCTAGGCAACATACTGAGACCCCGTCTCTACAAAAAAATTTTAAAAATTAGCTAGACATGGTGGTGAGCACCTGTAACCCCAGCTACTTGGGAGGCTGAGGTAGGAGGATCTCTTGAGCACAGGAGTTCGAGGCTGTTATCGTGTTACAGCACTCCAGCTTGGGCGACAGAACTAGACCCAGTCTCTAAAAATAGAAAATAACAAATAAAGGGTTGAGCAGCTACATATCCCAGTTTCTGTGCTAATTAGGTTAGACCCTCAAGGTCTGCGCTACTGATATTTTAGGCCTGACAATTCTTTGTTGTGGGGCTCCCCTGTGCATTGTAGAACATTTAGCAGCATCTTTTGTGTTTGCCCATTAGGTGCCAATAGTAATGCCCTAGTTGTGACAATCAAAATTTTTTTCAGATATTGCCAAATATTTCCACTAGGTTAGGTTGTGCAAACTTTTATGTCATTTTTTTCTGAAATATGTGTTTGATATTATTATTTTGTGTCTCCAAATTAAGTTTTCTAATATTATTTAATTTTCATAATATTAAGAGCAATTCTTTGGAGGAAGGATTGTGAGGAAATTTATTGATATTTTTTTAGTTCCTGTGATATCCCAGGGGCGATAGTGCCTTTCTCTCCGGGTGCTTTGAGGATTACATGAGATGACAAATACGAGAGTGGCGGGCACAGCCTGACCCAGGTCACTGTTTGAAGAATGTGGATGTCTACTCATTCATGAAGCTCTGTGAAGGTGAGGTGTTCTCTGAAGATCACAGGTAGAAGACTATTTTTACAAAAATATTCAATTTAGATCATATTGTTATGAATTATTATTATATGCTAACAAATATTATTTTTGAATTTAAACAACAATAAAGCAAATTTCTTCTGTTATATTTTCTTTTTTTTTCTTTTTTTTTTTTTTGAGATAGAGTCACACTCTGTCCCACAGGCTGGAGTGCAGTGGTGTGATCTCGACTCATGGCAACTGCCGTCTCCTGGACTCAAGTGATTCTTGTGCCTCAGCCTCCTGAGTAACTGGGACTACAGGCATGCACCACCACGTCTGGGTAATCTTTGTATTTTTCAGTAGAGATAGGGTTTCACCATGTTGGCCAGGCTGGTCTTGAACACCTGGCCCCAAGAGATCCACCCACCTTGGCCTCCCAAAGTTCTGGGATTACACGTGTGAGCCACAGTGTCTGGCCTGTTATATTTTCTTAATAGTTTTATCTCCCTATCTATTGTCACTGATCTCCAGACTCATCTTCCGTCATGCATGGCTCACTAGAACCACTATACTTCCATTACTTTAGCCTCTCTCCCCGCCCAACTATACAGCTAATTTCTTGACACTGTGCCTTATATTCTTTCTACTGGAAACTCTGGCCATTCCTATTCCCCATATTTACTTCATCGAAATGGGACTCTTTTGCCTGTTGGTTGGCCAAAGTCCTCTTCCAACAGCCTCCTATCCACCCTTCATTATCATGCTTCTCAACACTAATGGGCACCCTCTGTTACATCCTCATTCTTGTTCTGTGAAGTCGCCATGCACATTCCTACCCCTGTTCTTTCACCCATACTCTTTCCCATGTCTGGGCTACCCCTTCCTTTCTGTCTTCTGCCTACGGAGATCTAACAGCATCATTGAAGGTCCAATTCAAATCCCAACTTCTAGTGATATCTGTAACTTCCCTTGAAAGGCATTTACAAAAGATGCTTAATGGTTAGAGAGAAGGATGGACAGATGGATAGTTATATGATAAAGCAAATTTAGTAAATTTTAAATCTAGAATCTAGGTAGAAACATATAGGTGTTCACTGGATAATCTTTTTGACTTTTTTTCTGTTTCAAATTGTCATAATAAAATAAAAATAATTTAAAACTTAAAAATAAAACAAACATCCCAGTTTATTCACAAAGCCTTCCCATCCAACTCTAGTGATAGTCATTAAGAACCCAAGTTTATACATCAGACAGATTTGAATTCACGGCTTAGCTCCCCCTCTTGCTAGCTGGGTGATTTGGGGCAAGTTGTATAATAACTCAGAACTTCATTTTCCTCATTTATAAAATGAACATAATAATAACACTTCATAGGTGTTGTGGAGGCTAATTGAGATTTGTACTTATAAAAGTGCTTAGCTGGCTGGGTGCAGTGGCTCATACCTGTAAACCCAGCACTTTGGCAGGCCAAGACAGGAGGATTGCTTCAGCCCAAGAGTTTGAGATCAGCCTAGGCAATATGGTGAAAACCTGTCTCTACCAAAAAAAAAAGTTAAAAACTTAGCTAGGCATGGTGGCACATGCCTGTGGACCCAGCTACTTGGGAGGCTGAGGTGGGAGGATCACTTGAGCCCAGAAGGTCAAGGCTGCAATGAATGATGATTGTGTCACTGCACTCCAGCCTGGGCAACACAGCAAGACCTTGTCAAAAAAAAAATGGATAAATGGATAAAGTGCTTAGCACAATAGCTGAAGCCTAGTAAGTGCCCAATATGTGTCAGCAGAAAATACAAATGCTCCTCCCTTGAATGCCTAGAGTGTAAGCTATTTGACGGCAGTAACTCTGTCTCATTTACCATTCCCACTATGTCCACAGAGTAGAAACTTGAGCTTTGTAGAATGAGTAAATGTTCACCGTATAACACCTTTGTTGTTTACCTCTGTTGCTCTTCCTCTGGGAGACTCATTCAGTTGGTATTTCTGAAGCATCTACTATGAACAAAGGAGCAGCCATGAGCAGAACCATTATGGCCCCACACCTAACCCAATACTTTATCCCTGAAATCAAGTTTCTCTAGCTGAGTGCTGCTGTGCAGGTTGGTGGTTCTCTGACCGTCTAAGGCTTCTTCTGAGAATATATTTGGAGTAGAAGTATATGTTTAAGTGGAGAATAGACAAAAGAGAAGAGTTACTGGTGCTGTCTCCCAACCAGATGTGGAGTATGAAGAAAAGGAGGTGATACATTCCCCATGGTCTGACCCACAGACTTTATGACCTACCCTTTTTGGATCCCATTGGATCAGTTCGATCTACTGGTTTTAATAATGTTGAACTTGGTTTTCCAGTTAATTTATTCAAAATCTTTTCAAATGACTGTTCAAACTTTTATCTCATTATTTTCTGAAGTATGTATTCAGTTTTAATATTCTGTTTCTCCAAATTAAATTTAAATACAATTATTTAATTTTCATAATATTAAGAGCAATTCTTTGGAGAGAAGGTTGTGAGGAAATTTATTGAAATTTTTTAGTTCCTATGATATACCAGGCCCTGTGTATGTATTATTTCATTCCGTTCTCATAATACCTGTTTCCAATTGAGAAAAAATGGCTCAGAGTGGTTAAGTGAATTGCCCAATATCAGGCAAGTAGTAAACAGTGTCTGTTTATGAAACCAGGTCTGTCTAACTCTGGGGTAGATTGATTGTAAAAATAGCTGGGGTTTTCTCTACCACCCCTGTTTTCATATCCTTTGCAATATGACTTTGTAGCTCATTCCACAAAGAACCAGGCCTATCTCCATACTCCTTAAGTCAGGCATCATCTTATGATTGCTTTAGCCAATAGGGAAGAGAAATGATAGTGGGCCAATTCTGAGTCTAGACCTTAAGGGGTTATACCTCCATCTGGCTCTCTCTCAAATCCTGCACTGCTATGAGAACAAGCCTCAAATGGCCTGCTGGATGAGAGGACATTTGGGGCCAACCTGAGTCACCCCAGTTGAGCCCAGCCAAGACCAGCAAAGCTATCCCCTCAGCAGGCTGCAGGTGCACAAGTGAGCCTACTGAGACCAGCTGAGATCAGCAGAACCACCCAGGTAACTTACACACTCATGCACAAACAAAAATGTTTATCATCATAGCCACTGAGGTATGATGATTGTCATGCAGCATTATTTAATCAAGAAATAACTAATATAAATTCACACAACAAACTCCTTAAACTGATAAGCAACTTCAGCAAAGTCTCAGGATACAAAATCAGTGTGCAAAAATCACAAGCATTTCTTTACACCAACAGTAGACAAGCAGAGAGTCAAATCATGAATGAACTCCCATTCACAATTGCTACAAAGAGAATAAAATACCTAGGAATATAGCTAATGTGAAAGACCTCTTCAAGGAGAACTACAAACCACTGCTCAGGAAAATAAGAGAGGACCCAAACAAATGGAAAAACATTCCATCCTCATGGATAGGAAGAATCAATATTGTGAAAATGGCCATACTGCCCAAAGTAATTTATAGATTCAATGCTATTCCCATCAAACTACCATTGACATTCTTCACAGAATTAGGTAAAACTATTTTGAATTTCATATGGAATCAAAGAAAACCTCACATAGCCAAGACAATCATAAGCAAAAAGAGCAAAGTCATACTACCTGACTTCAAACTATACTACAAGGCTACAGTAACCAAAACAGCATGGTACTGGTACCAAAACAGACATATAGACCAATGGAGCAGAACAGAGACCTCAGAAATAACACCACACATCTACAACAAACTGGACAAAAAGAAGCAATGGGGAAACAATCTCCTATTCGGTAGTAAATGGTGCTGGGAAAACTGGCTAGCCATACGCAGAAAACTGAAACTGGACCCGTTCCTTACATCTTATACAAAAATTAACTCAAGATGGATTAAAGACTTAACTGTAAAACCCAAAACCATAAAAACCCTAGAAGAAAACCTAGGCAGTACCATTCAGGACACAGGCATGGGCAAAGACTTCATGACAAAAATGCCAAAAGCAATAGTAACAAAAGCCAAAATAGACAAATGGGATCTAATTAAACTAAAGAGCTTCTGCACAGCAAAAGAAATATCATCAGAGGGAACAGGCAACCTACAGAATGGGAGAAAATTTTTGCAATCTACCCATCTGACAAAGGCCTAATATCCAGCATCTACAAGGAAATTAAGTTTACAAGAAAAAAAACAACACCATCAAAAAGTGAGCAAAGGATATGGACAGACAATTCTCAAAAGAAGACATTTATGTGGCCAATAAACATATGAAAAAAGCTCAACATCACTGATCATCAGAGAAATGCAAATCAAAACCACAATGAGATACCATTTCATGCCAGTCAGAATGGCGATTATTAAAAAGTCAGGAAACAATAGATGCTGGCGAGGCTGTGGAGAAATAGGAACACTTTTACACTGTTGGTGGGAATGTAAATTAGTTCAACCACTGTGGAAGATAGTATCGCGATTCCTCAAGGATCTAGAACCAGAAATATCATTTGACCCAGCAATCCCATTACTGGGTATATACCCAAAGGAATATTAATCATTATACTATAAAGACACATGCACACATATGTTTATTGCAGCACTATTTACAATAGCAAAGACATGAAATCAACCCAAATGCCCATCAATGATAGACTGGATAAAGAAAATGTGGTACATATACACCATGGAATACTATGCAGCCATAAAAAGGAATGAGATAATGTTTTTTGCAGGGACATGGATAAAGCTGGAAACCATCATCCCCAACAAACTAACACAAGAACAGCAAACCAAACACCGCATATTCTCCCTCATAAGTGGAAGTTGAACAGTGAGAACACATGGACACAGGGAGGGGAACAACACACACCAGAGCCTGTTGGGGGGTTGGGAGGTGAAGGGAGGGAACTTAGAGGACTGGTCAATAGGTGCAGCAAACCACCATGGCACACATGTATCTATGTAACAAACCTGTACGTTCTGCACATGTATCCCCATTTTTTTTAGAAGAATGAATTTAAAAAAATTCATGCTGCCTACAGACCTTGAATATGCCTTATAAGAGTATAAGGGAAAAAAGTTTTTGCAAACACATTATCAGAAGTCTTTTGTATAGTTTTTATCATACTATTACAATCTTTTCAATTACTTGAGGAAAAAAACATTTTATTAGCAATATATTAGAAAAGAAATTATTTGTGTTTAATGAGCCAATTTAATGAATGACTAAATTGCAAACTGAACTACAGTGCATGGCTCTCTATCATCTCTATACTAGCTAAATCCAGTACAAATAAATCAACCAGAATTCCTGAGTATCTAGTCTGTATAGGCCCTGTGCATAGTACATTGGTGTTTTAAGACATGGTTCCTGCCTTCACAGAATTTACAATCTAGTTGGAACTATAAGTAGCCATGCAAATGACAAATATTTCAAAAACACCTTTACTACAACCTTATAATAAGAAAAGGTATGTGATCATTTTGTTTCAAAAGAAAAGGGTACATGATTATTTTGATAAAGGAAGTCAACACTTGCTAGAAGAATTCAGAGAAGAGGTGGAGGCCAGGCACAGTGGCTCATGCCTGTAATCCCAGCACTTTGGGAGGCTGAGGTGGGCAGATCACCTGAGGTCAGAAGTTCAAGACCAGCCTGGCAAAACCCCATCTCTACAAAAAATACAAAAATTAGCCAGGCATGGTGGCATGTGCCTGTAATCCCAGGTGCTCAGGAGGCTGAGGCAGGAGAATCACTTTAACCCAGGAGGCAGAGGTTGCAGTGAGCCTAGATCAAGCCACTGCACTCCAGCCTGGGCAAAAAAAAAAAAAAAAAAAAAAGTGGACTGCTTGAGAGAGAAGCTGGCAAGGTGGAGCGTGACATTATAGGTAGGGCTGGAACACCTTCTTGGAGAATTTCAAAAAGCAGGAAGGAAGGCAGTCTTGTTAAATCAAACTGCAGGTACTAATGCAGGTACTAATACTTGCAGTGGAAAAGTGCAAGGTGTATTTGTCAGTGTATTCTCCATTGATGAGAATGGAGAAAATCAATAGGACAAAGTGACTGATTAGATATGAAGTGAAAGAGACATGAGAAGTCTGTGTGTCTCCAGCCAGGAGGATGGTGATCATTAACAGAGAAAGAAAAGGTAGCAGCATGTGAACTGTTCAATATTGAACACATGGATCTTGAGCTGGAAGTGAAGTACCCAGCAAACTGTTGAAAATTCAGGTCAGGAGCCAAGGGGAAGAGTCAAGGTTAGAGGTATGCTTTGAAAATGTTCTGTGCAAAAGAGGTTGGATGAAGCCAGAGCAGCAGGCCGAGGACCAGACCTTGGGGAATGCCTGCAATGTCTAGTAGGAGAAATAAAAAAAAAACGCAGTCGCGACTGGGCAGAGTGGCTCATGCCTGTAATCCCAGACTTTGGGAGGCTGAGGCGGGTGGATCACTGGAGGTCAGGAGTTCGAGACCAGCCTGGCCAACATGGTGAAACCCCATCTCTACTAAAAATACAAAAATTAGCCGGGTGCAGTGCCAGCCATCTGTAATCCCAGCTACTAGGGAAGCTGAGGCAGGAGAATCGCTTGAATCCGGGAGGCAGAGGTTGCAATGAGCTGAGATCGCACCCCTGCACTCCAACCTGGGTGACAGAGCGAGACTCTGTCTCAAAAAAAAGACGCACTAACTGATTGCTAAGCAGGATGTAGCAAGTGCCACAGGAATTGCACAAGTGTGATATGCAATTTAGAGAGTGGAGAGGGATGTACACCAGCAGAGGGGAAATGCTGTCTTTCAAGAGAGGAATGAGTGATAATGAGCAGGACCTGCTCGCAGCAGGATCAGGCAGCTTTTGCAAATCATTGAATGAGATGGATGGTTCTGCTGGACTGTCACCTGCTAACAACAGAAACACCAGAGAAGACTGATTAAACTTATTTGAAAAACAGGCATAGCCAGCTTTGTTTGGGGCTGATTTACCCTTTCTGACTCTCTGTGTTGATCTTCTTTATGAATTAATTAGCAAGTTTCTGCTTCACCTTTATTCATTTTGATAAATTCAGAAAGTGCAAATTGAAGGAATATTTGATCAGGATAAAACCAATACACATAAGGCATCCAGATAAAGGAACAATGGCTAAATCCAGTTTCAGTTTCTTTGCAGTAAGTGTACACCTCAAGTGCTATACCAATTATATATACAGTGCACTATTGTGCTGCTTCCTTCAGCAGAGACACATTTACACATTCATATTAATTAGCTTTTGTGGTTATAGATGATGCTGTAGTAAGATTATTAAGAAATTACAATTCATCCTAACAACAGGGAGAACTACTTAGAGTTTCTAGCAATATAAATAATAGGCATCAGTTTTTGTTTTTGTTTTTTTCAGTAGTGTGTGAAGAATGGAGAAGCATAAAGTGAAAAGAAAAAGTCACCTTAGTGTTTTGGGTTTTTTTTTAAGTTTATAAAAAGAAGCCATACTCTGTCAGCTAACTGCTTGCCAATTGCTTTAGGGCGTTTCCACCTAATTCTAAGGTTAGCTGAAAGCAGTGTGTCTATAATTCTTTAGTCACCAGACACACCTTTATTAGCCATTCTGGTCTACATCTGCCCCACATGCTCTGCTCCAGGAACATTATATTCAGCAGCCAGCATTGTAACAAGCTTTGCAAGTGGCTCAGCATCCTAAAATTTGAGAGCCATGACCTAAGAAGTCTAGGAAGACCCAGGGTAGCTGGAAGGGAGTAAAGTGCCTCAGACCCAGCCTTCCCTCTTTCCTTTCTCCCTCTTTAAGCAGAGAACTCTACTTTATGGTTTTATTATATTGGACTTTCATTCATTCCATTCGTCAAGCCAAAAATCTAGGAGTCATCACTTACCTCCCATATCAATCCATCAACAAGTCCTGTCAATTGTCTCATCAATATCCACCCCTTTTTTTCCATCTGCACTGTGACAACATCCTGATCCATCTTGCCATCTCCTCTCTCCCACTAGTGCAAGTCTCCTAACTGATCTCCTTCCCTCTGCTCTTAGCCTCTTCCCATCTATTCTCCATAAAACATCAAGAATGTTTTTCTTAAAACTTAAATTAGCACGGTGGCTCACACCTGTAATCTCAGCACTTTGCGGGGCCGAGGCAGGAGGATCAAGAGGTCAGGTGTTCGTGACCAGCCTGGCCAACATGGTGAAACCCCGTCTCTACTAAAAATACAAAAATTAGACGGGTGTGGTGGCAGGTGCCTGTAATCCCAGCTACTTGGGAGGCTGAGACAGGAGAATCACTTGAATCCGGGAGGCGGAGGTTGCAGTGAGCTGAGATCGCGCCACTGCACTCCAGCCTGGGCTATACAGCAAGACTCCGTCTCAAAACAAACAAACAACAACAACAACATCAAAATTAGACCATATTGCTTTGCAGCTTAAAACTTTTCAGTAGTTCCCAAAGCACTAAAACAAAATCTAAACTCCTCTGACCATGGCCCATAATGTGTCATGGCCCCACCCCCGCCTTTCTCTACATCATCTCGTGCCACACTCCCATATCTCGCTATACTTAGCTATGTTGGCTTTTCTCTGGGCACCAAGCCAGGGATGCAGAAGGCTTTGTGCTTGCCTTTCCTCCTGCCTAGAAAGCTCTTCACTATTTTCGCAAAGTTCTCAGCTTAAATGTCACCTCCCCCAGGGGTCTAATGTTAATTGCATTTTGTTGTTGTTGTTGCTGTTTGCATTGATTTTGTGTGTCACTAAACTAAAAGCTTAGTGAAACCAAGAAGATGTCCATCATGTTTACCATTGTATCTCCAGCACCTTGTAAGTTACCTGGCATATATTAGGAATTCAATTATTGGAGGAATGAATAAAAGGATCCAAAGTTTTCAAGGTGTGGAAGTCCATGATGTAATCAAGTTAGAAAGGTCCATTTTGGATGGAGTGAGGGTGTGTATTCTGGAATTAAACTCTGTTCCAGAGTTATACTGGTGACCGGTGATCAAAAATCCCCAAGTTCAGCCTGGCGTGGTGGCTCACGCTTGTAATCCTAACAATTTGGGAGGCCAAGGAAGGCAGATCACTTGAGGTCAGGAGTTCGAGACCAGCCTGGCCAACATGGTGAAACCCTATCTTTACTAAAAATACTAAAAATTAGCTAGGTAGGATGGTGCATGTTTGTAGTCCCAGCTACTTGGGAGGCTGAGGCATGAGAATTGCTTGAACTTGGGAGGGGGAGGTTGCAGTGAGCTGAGATCACACTACTGCACTCCAGCCTGGGCAATAGAGTGAGACCCTGTCTCTAAATAAATAAATAAATAAAAAGTCCCAAGTTCATTGTTCTTCCAACCCAGTGCTGATGGAGCACATTGTTGTTGGGAAACTTCCATAAAGCTGATATAGTTTGGCTCTGTGTCCCCACCCAAATCTCATCTTGAATTGTACTCCCATAATTCCCATGTGTTGTGGGAGGACCCAGTGGAAGATCATTTGAATCATGGGGGTGTTTTCCCCCATAATGTTCTCATAGTAGTGAATAAGTCTTAAGAGATCTGATGGTTTTATCAGGGGTTTCTGCTTTTGCATCTTCTTCATTTTCTCTGGCCACCACCATGTAAGAAGTGCCTTTTGCCTTCTGCCATGATTCTGAGGCATCCTCAGCCATGTGGAACTGTAAGTCCAATTAAACTTCTTTTTCTTCTCAGTCTCAGGTATGTCTTTATCAGCAGCATGAAAACAAACTAATACAAAAGCTAAAAGGTTGTTTTGCCCTTTTGAAGAGAGATCTATTTATTTATTTATTTTTAATTTTTTGAGACAGAGTCTCGCCCTGTCGTCCAGGCTGGAGCGCAGTGGTGTGATCTCAGCTCACTGCAACCTCCACTTCCCAGGTTCAAGTGATTCTCCTGCCTCAGCCTCCTGAGTAGCTAGGACTACAGGTGCGTGCCACTACACCTGGCTAATTTTTGTATTTTTAGTAGAGACAGGGTTTCACCATATTGGCCGGGCTGGTCTTGAACTCCTGACCTTTTGATCTTCCCACCTTGGCCTCCCAAAGTCCTGGGATTACAGGCGTGAGCCACTCACGCCTGGCCAAAGAGAGATGTATTAATGTTGATTTGTAAGTACAAAGATATCACAAGAAACAGAAAACAGATTATAAAGCATGTGTTATTAATACTTATTATAGTTATATTAAAGCTTAAATAAATCCCATGTAATCTCATTTAAAAATTATAGGCTTCTGGCCAAGAACATTATGACAATCTATTTTGGAGTTAGGCATCATCTGGAGAGAATCTAGGGTGGTAGCACTGAATTAGATTTGGCTGCTTGCTGACTATGGCACAACAGCACATTGCATTTCTCCATGAATTGAGGTGGACGTGTGAGAGGGGGAAACGTATGGTACTAGGAGGGGTGTGAGTGATTGTGGATGATGAGAATTAGCTCTAAGGTCCCTTCCAATTGCTTCTGGCTCTTCAATTCCAGCTAAGCCAATTCAACTCAACTAAACAGTTATTGAGAGCCTTCTGAGTGCCAGGAAGTAAGTTGGGAGTATGATAATGAACAAAATGGATAATCGGCCCTGCCCTAACAGAATCTGGAGAGAGTAAGTGAGATGCGAACTAAGACTTAGCAAAACCAGATGGTGACATCCGCACTTGGCTTTCCTCTCGGAGTGTCAGTTTTACACCGGAATTAGCCACGTGTAATGAACAATCAAAGAAATGGTACTTTCTTAAATGCTACCAAAATGTTTTTATTCCCAAGTTCCAAAAAATGACCATTGAAATGCATTGGACTCAGAATTTGAAGCCCCAGCTGAATTCTCTTGAATGTACCTCCGTCCCTCTGTCCACTTTGGGAGGCTGAGGTGGGTGGATCACAAGGTCAGGAGTTTGAGACCAGCCTGGCCAATAGGGTGAAACCCCGTCTCTACTCCTTCACCACACCCGCATGCCTATTATGTTTTCTGTGATATTGAATCATTTTTTCTTAATTTAATAGTAAAATCCGTATGCATATCTTTTATTAGATTTGGGAAATAACAGAATGTCTGACTTGCTCAGAATTTCTTGTGGTGTTACCCTGCAGCTGTTTTCCAGTAGACTGTTGTGTTTATAGTTACTTATTCACCTTTGATAGCACCATCTTGTAATCCATTACAGTCAGAGTGGTACATTTTTTGTCTTCTCATTAGCCCCTCTCTGACAATCAACATTTTGCACATTAGGTACTACACTCTTTGTTCATATAAATCACAGGCTATTAAATCATCTCAGCACAAATATTGCCAACTAGCATGACTCATTTCAATACTAAATTGTTTAAAGTTGACAGTAGTTGTCTTAATAGTTCGCAGGCATTTTCTCCACATTTTGTAGCTACTTGATGACTCAATGAAAAGAATGCAGACTTTGTGACAATATTGGACAAGTTGTTAGCTGCTCTGAGTCATTACCTTATCTGTAAAATTAGGCGATTGCATTAGGTTAGGGAGTGAACTGCTCAACAATGGGACAAATTTAATTCTCAGATCAGCTTGGATTGGCCCTCACAGCACTTTGAAAATTATCACAAATTGGCCAGGTGCGGTGGCTCACGCCTGTAATCTCAGCACTTTGGGTGGACCAGGAGGTCAGGAGTTCAAGACCAGCCTGGCCAACACAGTGAAACCCTGTCTCTACTAAAAATACAAAACAATTAGCCAGGCGTGGTGGCAGGTGCCTGTAATCGCAGCTACTTGGGAGGCTGAGGCAGAGAATAGCTTGAACCCGGGAGGCAGAAGTTGCAGTGAGTCAAGATCATGCCACTGCACTCCAGCCTGGGCAACAGAGCGAGACTCCATCTCAAAAAGAAAGAAAGAAAGAGAGAAAGAAAGAGAGAAAGGAAGAAAGAAAGAAAGAAAGAAAGAAAGAAAGAAAGAAAGAAAGAAAGAAAGAAAGAAAGAAAGAAAGAAGGAAGGAAGGAAGGAAGGAAGGAAGGAAGGAAGGAAGGAAGGAAAGAAAGAAAGAAAATGGGAAAGTTCTCAAAAAACTCCAGATTTCTGGCTTCTCTTGAAAAATCAACACCTGACTTCCCTAGAAAAATCTGGCCTCAGAGAGTGCCTGCCTCAGTTGCACATTCTTCTCACATTCACAAATGAGAAGCCAGGAAGGCATAACTAACCCACCTCAATTCCCTTCTGATAGCACCTGAAGACCCTGCTTCTGGTGAAATCTACCAGGAGATTTAAAGGAACCAGATCTAGAGAGGGAAGCTCTTTTAATGGCCGAGAAAACCTTTTGAGGAAACAGGACAGGAGACCTCATCTACATCATCACTTTAGTTGTTGATCATGTTATTATCTTGTGTTGTTTAATATTTATCACAATTTGGGTTGAACAGGTTTGTTTTTTAAAATATTTGAGGTTGTGGGGAGATGGAGGACAAAGTGTTTGCTTTGCCACCTCTGAATCCACCTTTCCCAGAGCTGCTCTTTCTGTTTGTTGACTTTTAGATGACATATGTATGTGTGTGTTGTGGGGAAACGGTCTTACTTTTGGTTGTTAGAGAGAGAGAAAGAAGAAAACTGTAGCCTGAGCTGATGAGATGGGAGCAACCTTTACATTGGATACCTGCTCTTTGCTCAACAGCAGGCCCCAGCTGGCCTACTTTACTTATTTATGTTAGCTATCTGGCCCCTCTAGCCCTCTAGCCATCTGAATTTCCACTAGATAATGTCTAAGTCCCCTTTCATCTTCATAAAGCTAAACATTTCTAAGATAATATTCCAAGGGTGTTGAGGCTCCGCAAGCAGGTATTTTCCTACCCCTGTCCTGGCAGAATATCCCCCAGTAGAAACACTGGTTGTCCATACCTAACCCTTGTCTGTCTTCCTCACTTAAATTTCTAGCACCCAGATAAGCCCCTAGCACCTAGAAAGCATCCAGTAAATATTTGTAGAATGAAGTCTTCAGGATTAGCAATTACCTTTGGAAAGGGCCCATCGTGATTAACAAAGCAAATTAGTATTTAAGAGGACACAATATCTTCTTTTTTTTTTCAAGATAGTGGATCTTGCTATATTGCTGAGGCTGAACTCAAATTCTTGGGCTCAAGCAATCCTCCTGCTACTCAACCTGTTGAGTAGCAGGCACTACAGGCACGCAGGCACAGTTACCTACAATATAATTTTGTCTTATGTTACCCAATAGACAGGGATAATGAGCTTAAATTGCATTGGTTTAAATGTTTTGTTGTTTAAACTTTCTATTAACACGTGCTGGGTACAAACACAGTTAGGCTTTTGGGTTTCATGTTTATTTCTACAGAAAGGATAATATATATATGTGTATATATACGTATATATACGTATATACGTATATATATGTATATATGTGTATATATACGTATGTATGTATATACGTATATATACATATACGTATATGTATATGTATATATGTATATATACACATATATACATATATATACAGATATGTATATATACACATATATACATATATATACAGATATGTATATATACACATATATACGTATATACACACATATATACATATATATATATATATATATATTCCATGCAGTAGGGAAGAAGAAAGAGTAAGACTGAGCCTGCTTTCCTAAGACTACATTTAAATAATGCACTTCCAGAAAAATCAAGTTTCTGAATTGAACCAGTGTGAGGACAGGTGGGAGAACACTACTCCCTTGTGTTTACTATTGGAACTTACATTACCTCTGCATGCTGATGATCTGTGATGCGGTCACGGCTTACAGCGCACCCTGCACTCTGGTATGGGCTAGTGAGGCAACAACGAGCAAAACAGGCAGGGCTCCTGCAATCTCAGGAGATAAAACAGCCATCAGTTAAATTATCAAACACAGAATTTCAAGCTGCAGTAACTTGGAGGAAAAAATTTAGTGCTTTGAAAATTATTCAGCTTTATCTCTGGCCTCCCAAGATGGTCAGCATCACATAGATCAATGTATTGACAGCTTTCTACCCAGGCACTGTGCTAAGCACTTTTTATGCTTCCTCGCTTTCAATTCATGCTCTCAAAAGCTATGGGTGGGTACTCCATTGATAAATAATTTGCAGAAGATCACACAGCTAGTAGGTGAGGGAACTGTGTGACTCAACCACTCCTGACCACTTTACTAACTGAAACAAAAAGGGGGGAAGAAAACGACTGCAATATTATTATACATATCTCTATCTCTATCTATCAATCTATCTCTCTATCTCTCTGTCTGTTTGTCTATCTAGGTTATCCACGGTTCCTAGCTCATGACTCCCATAGCCCTTGTTACAATGTTAGGGTGCTTTAGGCTTCAGAAGCAGGCCTCAGAAAACAGAATTTCTTTTTTTCTCTCTTACCTTTTCTGCCCTCCTTTCACCTATTTCTTTCTCTCCCCAAGGCAGGAACTTTTTCCTGGTTTCTGGAGCTGGTTTCTGACCTACCTTGTCTGATCATAGGTCAGAACACCTCCATTTCAGAAGGGTTCCTGCCCCATACCATGGAGGAAGGCATGGTGCACAGAGAGACCAAGAAGAATCTGAACAGACAGTCCCTGCTGGGTTACCCCACTCAGTCTGTTAGTATTAGATCATACCCTTTGTCCAATCGCATTTTAACAGGTTGTCCATTTTCAGTCATGCCTATCCAATGAGGTCTCCATAAAGACCCAAGAGGACAGGGTTTGGAGAGCTTCCAGGGAGCTGAACAAATAGAAGTTCCTGACTGGTGGTTTATCAAGGCTGCCTCTCTTCTCCCATACCTTGCCTTATGCATCTCTTCATCTGAATCCTTCATATCCTTTATACTAAACCTGCAAATGTAAGTAAGTCTTTTCCTGCATTTTGTGAGCCACTCTAGCAAATTAACTTAACTCAACGAGAGGTTTCATAGAAACCCCAACTTGAAGCTGATTGGTCAGAAGTTCTGGAGGCTGGAACTTTCAACTGGTGGGAGGAGGGGATGGTCTTGGGGATTGAGCCCTCAATCTGTGGGATCTGATGTTATCTCCAGGTGGATACTGTCAGAACTGAATTGGAAGATACCCAGCTGATGTCCACTGCAGAAATGATTGCTTCTTGGTGTGTGGGAAGAAACTCACACATATTTGGTCACAGACGTCTTCTGTGATGATGTTGTGAGTGAGAGAATAGAAAAAAAGGCTGAGGTGGGTTTTCCCAAAAATAACAACCTACAATACTATAGCAGTGTTTCTTAAATATGAGGAATGTGTGAATAAAAAATAAAGAATTTATTTTAGATTTCGCTATCATCACCTCCTACGGTCAACTTAAATTATTTTGATCATAATGCTTGCTGCTTAAGCATGTATAAGAAGGTTAGGTATGAACTCTGAATGTTTTTAGCTCTTACAACAGCAACAAAAAGATAGAAGTTAAATATGAATAGAACTATCATTCAACAAAATGTTTCATAATAAATTCAAATTAACAGCAATGACGTGATATACTCATTTAAAAATAAGTCTATATGAGTTGCCCACTGTATGTTAGGCCCTGTTCCCATCAAGAGTATGCAATGGCAGAGACAGACAACAAGTAAATAAGGAGTGAAATACACTATGTGTCAGTTGGAGATAAGTGCTATGGGGAAACACAGCAGGGACTGGGAGAGGGACAAGGCAGTGTGATTAAGAGTGTGGTCCGGGGCCGGGCGCAGTGGCTCACCTCTGTAACCCCAGCGCTTCGGGAGGCCAAGGCAGGCAGATTACCTGAGGCCAGGAGTTCGAGACCAGCCTGGAAAACATGGTGAAACCCCATCTCTACTAAAAATACAAAAATTAGCTGGGTGTGGTGGCACATGCCTGTAGTCCCATCTACTCGGGAGGCTGAGGCAGGAGACTCGCTTGAACTAGGGAGGTGGAGGTTGCAGTGAGCTGAGATCATACCACTGCACTCCAGCCTGGGTGACAGGGCGTGACTCCACCTCAAAAAAAAAAAAAAAAAGAATGTAGTCCACGGCCAGGCACAGTGGCTCATGCCTGTAATCCCAGCACTTTGGGAGGCTGAGGCAAGCGGATCACTTGAGGTCAGGAGTTTGAAACCAGTCTGGCCAACATGGTGAAACCTCATCTCTACGAAAAATCCAAAAATTAGCTGGGCATGGTGGCAGGCGCCTGTAATCCCAGCTACTCAGGAGGCTGGGCAGGAGAATCGCTTGAATTTTGGAGGCAGAGGTTGCAGTGAGCTGAGATTGTGCCACTGCACTCCAGCCTGGGCGACAGAGCGAGACTCTGTCTCAAAAAAAAAAAAAAAATAGTGTGTGGTCCGGGTCGTGGCATTCACGCAGCAACCTGAAGGAGGCAGGGGAGTGTGGCTGTGGTCATCTGGAGGGAAAGCACGGAAAAGGAGAAAGGGGCAAAATGAAGGCACCCTGAGTTTGGAGTGTGCTTGGTATACTTGAGGAAACACAAGGAGGCTGATGCGACTGGAACAGATGAACTAGGGCAGAAGTTCAAATTCTACTCAAAAAAAGAAGTGGAATTAGAGCAAGGGCAACAGCTAACCCAGATAATGATGTCTGCTGAAACTATCTCTTGGGGTCGTCTCCTACAGCTGCCCAAGGCAATGTTACTCCCTATTACACCGCTCAGTTGCGGTGTCCTTTATCTCGTGTGGTGAAAATTAGCGACGTGGACACACGTGGAGTGGATTAAGGGGTAGAAAGTTTAATAGGCAAGAAAGGAGAGAATAGCTCCCCGTACAGAGGGAGGAGGGCTCTGAACCGAAAACCCGCGTGCAGAGGAAAGCAGTGGTTTATATTGGGAGGCTGGAGGAGGTGGTGTCTAATTAGCATAGGGCACAGGGGATTGGTTTAACCACGTGTGTCATTCAGGTAGCCCCCCCAAAAAAACTGGCCCTCCCACCCTAGCCTTTTATTATGCAAATGCGGCTACCTGGCTGGTCGCCATGACACCTGTACACGTGGCAACAAAGAAAAAGTAGCAGGAACCGCCATATTGGCTGGACCTGACTCTTAACCATCTGCATTTGCATATCAATACTTGCAGGTCTGGTTTTTCAGGCTGCTTTCTGTTAGATAATAAATATTTGGGGGACCGCTTTTTTATTAAACGAAAAAGACTTACTGAGGACTCTTTTACCCTCTCTAGCTGCCTAAAATAATTTCTTAATAACTCCTGTAATACCTACATATAGAACCTTTTACAGTTCTCCAAATAGATTGTGTTCTTCACCCTTCCACGCCATCTCTGTCTACCTAAGCGGACTCCTTTTATACTTCAAGTCAAGCTTAATTATGGCCTTCTCTGGAAAACTGCCCCCCATCCTGATTAGACAAGCATGCCCTCGTAGCACCTTGTCACCCTATGCACAACCCTATCCTAGTGTCTATTGCATTGCATTGTAGCTGGTGCTTTACTTCTCTACCTTGCCCACCAGACAGCAAGCCTCTTGAGGACAAGAAAGCTTTTTCTTTCTGTCTCGGTATCCATAGTACTTAAATACTTATATAGACACAACAGATAATTAGGAAATGTTTACTGAATGAATAAATAGCATTGGCAATCACTCATAAAAACGCCAAGTCAGATTTTAGTACCCCCTTAGCATACTTGCACATGATACCTACTAGCAATCCTGAAGGGTCACTAGATGCCAGGCAATGCACTGAATTAGGCGGTTGTTGGTTACTATTCATTATCTTCCAACAACCCTACAAATTAGATGTTATTATTCCCATCTTTAAATGTAAGAAAAATAAAATTGGGCAGGTTAAATAGCATATGTCACCACCTAGACCCAGGATTTTAATTTAGTCTCTCTAAATCCCAAACTACACCAAGCTGTAAGTCAGAAAAATGTAAATGAGGAACAGCTTATGGTACACTTAAAAAAATTATTTGATAAAAATCTGTTAGAGATTTACAGAAAACTTTTCACACTGTATTTACATTGCTTGACTTCATTATGGATTTTCAAGGAAGAATGATTGAAGGCCAACTCAATCATTCAGCCACAGTGAAGAGTTTGGCATAATTTGAAACAAAGGAATACATATGGGAAGCATCTAGAACTGAGTGAAATGGTGGCAAAGAAGACATGGACCTATACAAATATTACTAATTGGGAAAACACTTATAAACCACTGTAGGGTTTCTACATTGTTGAATGCTATCCCAATTTTTTAATACATGACATAGAACAATATTTACATACATGTACACTGAAAATAGATCCAAAGGGTATAAAACAAAATGTTTTGGTTATTTCTGAGTTATATAATTTTTTTTTCTGTGCTTGTCCACATTTACTAAAATCTCCACAATTAAAAAAAAAAAAATCCATGATGAGCTGGGAGTCGTGGCGCACACCTGTGGTCCCAGCTACTTGAGAGGCTGAGGAAAGATGATCACTTTGGCCCGGGAATTTGAGGCCAGCCTGGGCAATATAGCGAGACCCCATCTTTAAAAATTAAAAAAGTAAAAAAATAAAAAGTTTGTAATAAAACTTATAACAAGAAAATGAACCTAGTTAAAAAATAAAAAGAAGATCTGAATAGACACTTCACCAAAAATGATATACAGATAGCAAATAAGGCATTGAAAAGACGCTTGATATCACATGTTGTTAGGGAATTGCATATTAAAACAATGAGATACCACTACATACCTATTAGAATGGCTAAAATCCAAAACTCTAACAGCATCAAATACTGACAAATGTGAAGTAATAGCTCTCATTCATTGCAAAGTGCAAAATCGTACAGCCACTTTGGAAGATAGCTTGTCAGTTTCTTACAAAACTAAACATACTCTTACCATATAATCCAGCAGTTGCACCCCCTGGTATTTACTCAAATTAATCAAAAATTTATGTCCACACAAAATCCTGCACATGGATGTTTATAGCAACTTTACTCATAATTGCCCAAACCTGGAAGCAACCAAGATGTCCTTCAATAGGTGACTGGATAAATTGTGGTACATCAAGACAATGAAATATTATTCAACACTAAGAATAAATAAATTGTCAAGTCATGAAAAGACATGGAGGAAACTCGATGCACATTACTAAGCAAAAGAAGTCAATCAGGGGAGGCCCAGGTGGGCGGATCATGAGGTCAAGAGATTGAGACCATCCTGACCAACATGGCGAAACCCCCTCACTACTAAAAATACAAAACTTAGCTGGGCATGGTGGTGTGTGCCTGTGGTCCCAGCTACTCAGGAGGCTGAGGCAAGAGAATTGCTTGAAACCGGGAGGCAGAGGTTGCAGTGAGCCAAGATTGCGCCACTGCACTCCAGCCTGGCGAGAGTGCGAGACTCCAACTCAAAAAAAAAAAAAAAGTCAATCGGAAAAGACTACATACTGTGTGATTCCAACTACATGATATTTTGGAAAAGGTGAAATTACAAAGAGAGGAAAAAGATTAGTGGTTGCCAGGGCTTAAGGGGAGGGAGGGATAAATAGGTGAAGCACAGGGCATTTTTAGGGCAAGGAAACTGTTCTGTATGATGCTCTAATGACAGATACATGACAGATACAGATACATTATATATTTGTCCAAACCTGTAGAACATACAACACCAAGAAGGAACTCTAATGTGGGTGGGTGGACTTTGGGTGATAATGATGTGTCAGTGTAGGCTCATCAATTGCAACAAATGTACTACTCAGGTGGGGAATCCTGGTGGTGGGGGAGGCTCTTGGGAGAAGGAATATGCAAGACTCTTTGTACTTTGCACTCAATTTTACTGTGGACCTAAAATGCTCTTTTAAAAAAAATCTATTAAGTGTGTTTTAAGTTCATGATGAAGAAGTCTGGTAGTTAAATCTTGCAGAATGCAATCCAAGAGCTCTCATGCTTGCTTGTATTCCTTACCATTCTGGGAACAGAAATATTCGTGATAACAATGTGCAGGTGACAGCAACTTCAAGACATGCAGGAGAGTATGCTTCAGGATTTCAGTATTTGGAAAGGACAAGTAAGTAATCCTCTTAGAGAAAAAGATTTAGAAAACTACCTCATCTGACTTCAGACTTCAGCATAAACTAGTAATCTTAACAAATCAGCTGGCTAGGATGGATGGAGAACAAAGATACATAGACATTTCCCATTATTTCTGTAAACCAGAAAGTGTCGGAGACAGGTCTCAATCAATTTAGAAAGATTATTTTGCTAAGGTTAAGGACGTGTGCCCTGGAAGCAGGTTTGTGCCTTTCTCCAAAGATGATTTTGAGGGCTTCAGTATTTAAAGGGGAAAGAGGAAGATATTTTTTAAAAGGTATGGGTAGGTAAAAGACAAATGGTTTTATTATTTTGAGTCTTTGATCAGCCTTTCACCAAATACACAATTTACATGTGAAAGAAGGGTAGAGGAATAGTCACTTAAGCCTTTTTCTAGCTCGGTGAAACTGCATTTTTACACCAGAGAAAGCCATCAGATATGCATTTGTCATTTGTCTCAGGTAAGCAGAGGACTTACTTACAGTTCTATCCTTTGTGAAGATAAGCTTTTGTGTTCTAGCCTTCACACCTGGGAAGATAAGCTATCAATTTACATTGTCAGGGTAACATTCAACAGAACCATTTTAGGATAAATGGGGGCCCATAAGGAATTTCCTAGTGGGCCAATTGTGAGGGAGGTGTGTAGCTTTTTAAAAATCTTTGAAGCTATCTTATTTAGGAATAAAATGGGAGGCAGTTTTGCCTGACACAGTTACCAGCTTGACTTTTCCCTTTGGCTAAGTGATTTTGGAGTTCCAAGATTTATTTTCATTTTAACAGTTCATAAGATCACCAAAAATGTTTTATTTAACATCAGAACGAAGATAGTGAATAAGAGTACAGAGTTAGAAGAAAGAATTCCACACATCCCTAAATTTGGACAGTTCTCAAAAGGTTTTAACTACTCATGATTCTCTGCAAGACCACTTGGTTACAGCATTCCTATTAGGGAGCTTTGAGCAGAGGACGGTCTTTCCTTCAAGGCCTCACCACCCTAAATCCTATGCCTTAAGACCATCAAAGGGTTGGAATGTGCAATTTTACCTTGTCTGTTATTGAGAACTTGTCTATCTGGGTAATATTAATAATACTTAATATTTTATGGAATATATACATTTGCCATATATTGTTCTATTTATTTTCCTTGCGGTCACCATTTAGTTTGCGTAACGACCCAGTGAGGTGAACATAACATTATCTCATTTCACAAGTAAGGAACCAAGGTCCAGAAAGATTACTGTGTTACTAGGTATCAGTTTGTAATCCAGAAGACAGTTTGACTACTGTGTCATGCTGTCTCTTAATGACAACAGCTAGCTCCAGGGCCTCCAGAAATCGTTCCACAGGTTGTTCATTGGGCAAGTTTGCCACCCAAGAGTGTGTGTGTGGACACACATCTAATCCCCACTCAGCTTGCCAAACTGCCAGCCTACAGGGCTGCATCTGCCTGGTCTTTACCTAATTAGCCCAAAAGTGCTGCAAGCCAGGTACTGAATTGACAACTTTGTGTGCATTATAACATTTCATCCAGGTGTCCCCATGTCTCCACCATCTTGCTTTCAAGGTCCCAGTACTTCCTACACAATGCAAAGAAATCTGTATTGCTTATATTTTGAGAAATTTACATCATTTGAATTATTTGTAAACCTCATTATGAATACCACCTCTTTGGTTTTATCTGTCAAAGAATGCCTACAGATGCTAATTTATTGGGCAACTTTAAAAATTGCCCAATTTTTAAATTTTTAAAAGTTTTAAATTTTTAATTTTCAAATTTAAATTTAAAATTAAAAATTTTTAATTTTCAAATTGAACTGATATAATTTCATAGTTTAGTTTGGTTAATTTCACTAACCAGTATGGGCAATGACCAGGAAATTCCCAGGAAAGTAATGCCATCTAGCGGTAAAATCAGGGCAGATGTAATATACCTGCAATAAATGACAAAATTACAGAACAATTACTCAGACATAAAAAGAAAGGCAACACTGACACCTGCTCAATGTGGATGAACCTTAAAAACATTGTTATAAGCAAAAGAAGCCAGACACAAAAAGTTACATAACATATGATTCCATTTACATGAAACATCCAGAATAGATAAATCCACCATGACAGAAAGCAGATTGGTGCTTGCCAGGGGCTGTGTGAAGGGGGAAATGTGGAGTCAATGCTAAAGGGCATGTTTTCTTTTGGGTGACAAAAAAGTTTTGAAAGTAGATGCTTTAAATGTTCTAGATGTTGTACGAGATTGTGAATGTACTAGATGCCACTGAATTGTTTGCTTTAAGCACAATAATTCTATAGGCACATTACTTTGTAATATTCATATTTACACAAAACATATAATAAACCATATTTGTCCTGCCGTATATTAACTAAGGCAATGTTCTAGGCACTACAAAAAAAAAGACAAAGCTGTAAAAATCAGTTTCTGTTTGTAAAATATGTAACTGAATGGCGAAAAGTTGTACATTTAAATAATAGTACTAGAAGGTAGAAGGTGGTAAGTGGCACAGAGGAGATAAAAGATAATTATTCTGGTCAACTGGAGATGGATGACAACACTTCACAGACGGGGTTCAGGAAGGGTGGTCACACAGGAAAGATTCCAGGAGAAGTGGTTTCTGATCTGGAGCTTAATGGTAAACAACACACCATGTGGAGAATCTCAGCTTAAATTTAAATGCCGAGGCATCAAGCCCAACAAACACAACAGTGTGCATCTTTCTGATGCCTGTTCTAGCAGTGAGATCCAGGCACCAGGCTGCCTGAGAGGCAGCACCCACCTCGAGGGCACTAGGCAAATCCCTGCAAGTGAATTCCCACCACGTTGCTTTGAGAGCTAGGGGTAATCTGTGGAGTCTTTCCATGCAGAAGAATTCAAAATGAATTGTGCAAGTCGGCGCCTAACTCCCTACTCCTTAAGTGTAAGCTGTGCGTAGTGACTTCCCTCCAAAGAACACAGTATGGAAAGAGGAGAAAAAATAGAAACTTTACTTTGGAGAAACTTGATAAATACTAACTCTGCCAGGTTGACAAGGTCAACATCATTAGTGATAAGTCAGCTTGATAGTTTGTACCCTTGACAAGTGACAAGAATGTCACTTCTGTGGTCTTCCTCCACAAAATTCATAAGTCTAACTTAATCATGAGAAAACATTAGACAAATCCCAACTGAGGGACATTCTACTAAATGCTTGCTCAGTACTTCTCAAAACTGTCAAAGTCATCAAAAACAAGAAAAGTCTGAGAAACTCTCACAGCCAAGAGGTGTCTAAGAAGACACGATAATTAAATGTACTGTGGTTTCCTGGATGAGATTTTGGAACAGAAAGAGGACATTAGGTAAAACCTACTGAAATTTGAATAAAGAATTCACTTTAGTTAATAATAATGTATTAAATTTTTCCATTAATTGCAACAAATATACCATGCTAATGTAAGATGGTCGAAGGAACTGGTGCAGCTTTTAAGGAACTCTACTATCTTCACATTTCTTTTCTAAATCTAAAACCGTTTTAAATAAACAATATTTCAAAAAATATATAAACACAAAATAAAAGCATAGATTTGTGTTAAATTCCATGCATTTAAAGAAATATAATTAACATAAAGAACACATATACCTAAGCCCATCTTAATTTCTTGGCATATAAAACCACTTTGTATTCACCTCCTAACCCTTTGTCCTCTCATAACCTTATCTTGAACTTCATATGCATTAATCCTATGTATATTATATATCCTATGTGTATTATATGTTTCCAATATGTAAGTATGTATCCATAACCATTTTATAAAGTATTACATATTTCCATGAATACCTATAACCGCAAGTGAATAGAAAAAATTTGGAAACATATTTGTTACACTGACAGCAGTGCTTACTTCAGGGAAGATGGAGAGTAGAATGAGTAAAGTGGAACTCTCCTTTGACATCTTATTACTGATATGTTTCAAGGACATTGCGTTATTTTACAACGTTTACATCGGCAAAACATAAATATAAAGAAACGTGGTTGGGTCACATCATCCTTCTGCTCCAAAAACCTTTTATAAGTTTTCTTCATCTTGCACAGTGCCCTGCAGCCAGAAACTCTCAATTAATGTTTACGCATGCCAAAATTTTATGAGCACTTACCTTAAGCATTCTTTCCTGCCCATTAATCCAGTGGTTCTTAACCCTGATTGCATATTACAATCACTTGAGGAGATTTTAAAAAACAAAAAAACAAAAAACAACAAAAAAAACATACTGACGACCTGGCTTCTCTCTCGACAAATTAATTGGAATCTCTGCAGGTAGGGTCAAGGGATCTGCATTTTCACAAGCCCCTCAAGTGGCTTCTATGCTCTTTAAAGGCCATATCACAGACCAAAAATTTAAGCAGGCTTAACTTACCACTTGACGGAAGCCATCTGGATGGTTCTTGGTCTCATTAGCAAAATAAGTATCCTGTGTTGTGAGAAAACTACTGATTGCCAAATGGAAATAACTGCTTGAAAAATTCAACAACGTTTATTTTTGTAGTAAATACAATCTTGTAGATAGAAAGCATGTGTCCAGGTAAAATATTTGTCAAGCCCTTTGAATTGTAGCAAGTGCTTAATAGGCTCTCAAGAAATATCTATTGGATGAATGGTTGAATAAATAAGTGAGCAAAAAATTTACCAGGGAACCCAAGTAAGCTAACGAAAGTCTAACTGATGGAAACATCATTTGTTCAAGATTTACTGAGTACCTACTATGTGCCAGGCCCTGTACTAAATCCTAGAGTCATTGAGTTTCCACTAAGACACACATTTTTTGGTTTTTAGTAGCTGAAATTGAGGAGAGAAATACTGGCAACATGCATATTGCCTGTAAACATTTCCCTATTCTTCTAATCTTTTTTTATGAGGAAAATGAATTGTCTTAGTATGGGAATATGCGCCAATACTGTCTCTAAAGAGTGAGAAAATAACATAAACATCCCAATGAGAGGATAGAATAGCTGAAAGAGGGTGGGAAGCTGGAAGAGAATGTCACGAAGCAGAATCCTAACATCTGACCTCCAGCCTGGGGTTAGATATTTGGCAGCTTACGCTCCCTCTCCTAAAGAGCTGTACATGTCTTTGGAGCATTAATTCTGAATTAGCATTCCAAGCTTTCTGTGTGCTTCACTAAGGACCAGGCAAAAGAGGATAAATTATATTTAAGTCCCCTCAAACTTCAAATCAGCAACATTTTAAGAAAATTCAAATAGACTACTTTTTTCATTAATATACAGTGACCGTGTGCTCCTGCCATCTATTTTAAATTACAAGTGCTACAATGGCTACATATTCTTAAAAAAATATTTGAACCAGCTGCCAAGATGAGGTTTTATTAATAGCACATTTTTTAATGCATATAGTTTTAAATTCAATATGTAACAGAAGTATGAAGATTTTCCAAAAGGCTAGAAAGCCTTTTTAAAGTAGAATGAAATGTAAAGGTCAGTTATAGGACTGTTTTGTTTCTTTACTAAAAACAGAAAACTTTCCCCTTCTTAATTATGCCAATTGACTTTTTTTAGTCAATGTGTGTTATGAATCACGATCATAACCTTGACTTGATTTAAACAGAAAAATGTGGTGTGGTCATATGATTAGAATGTTGTTTGTAATCCCACCCTTTTGTTAATTAAAATATCAACTTCCACTTTTGAGAGAAAAAATCTCGTCTTCTACCCTATCCCGTATCATTATCTTCAGGAAAGCAACAGTTATTGAAAATAAAGTAATGGGGCATGGAGGAAACAAAAAAAAGATAAATAATCACCAAACAGTGTTGACTTTCTGAAAGCAGAATATGCACCCCAAATTCTTAACAAATACCTCATTCTGTGGATCATATGAGTAACTAGCCATTAGAAGAGCCAGCTGTGACTTAAAAGAACTGAATCCTGGCTCAAGTGATGTGATTGGCTCAAATGTCAAAATCATTGAAGGATTTTTGGGTGCCCCATGTTGACTCTTTATTTAAGTATAACAAAGAAGTGTTAAGAGGTCATAATTGCAGGAAATACTATAATTAATAAAAGCTTACTTTCAATAGAGTTCTAATTATAATATGTGGCTATTATGTGGATATCCACATATTATTTGGATGGATATGGTAGAAATAGCAACCTATGAACACACGTTGCAGCTGAGTCCACAAAACAGCGATGTAGACATAGACATATGTATGTATCTTTCTGGTGAAATGATTTATAAAGCTTAAGTTTTCAAAACCTTATACTTTCAGAATATAGTGTATACAGAGCAAAACCAAAAAGTGGACTTAAAAAATTTACATTTCCACTTCATTATCACCTCATTTAGTAGGGAAAAAACACGTCTCTAGTTCTGGATAAATAAAATGACCATAGGGAGAAAAATTTTAGCAATTACATGGTATAAGTGGAAGAAGATATATTTAATAATCTTTCATATAATATGGTACAGGTCCTCCAAAGTAATATGGTTTCAGGATATAGATATATCCTGATATTCATCTAGATATTTGCGCATTTATAGAGCTTTATAAAGAAGCCTAAATATCTAGATGAATAAGTGATTTTTTAGTCATCTGGGAATTTCGACATTTCAGAACCTGAAGAATTTAAAATAACCCCTCTCCTATTTTCAATTCAATTCATGGCGAGCACTACTAATTTTAAAAAAGAAATAATGATTTTTCTATTACTTTTATTTTGAAATTTTGGAGAAATGTAAAAATATTTCTTAAGATAATGAGAGGGACTTGGATTCTCCCAACGCAGAGATAGATCTGGGGAATCAACACAAAGCTAGGCTCATGAGAGCTGTTGAATACGTACCTGTTGAATTTAGTAGGCCTTTCATTGGATGGAGATTAACAAACAAGGGTTCAGCTTAATTTCTGTCATGGAGTCCTTTATAAACATGTTTTCTACCTATTAGAACAGAGGTCCCCAACCCCTGGGCTGTGGACCAGTAACAGTCTGTGGCCTGTTAGGAACTGGGCCCCACAGCAGAAGGTGAGCAGCAGGCAAGTGGGTATTACCACCTGAGCTCTGCCTCCTGTCAGATCAGCAGTGGCATTACATTCTTATAGGAGCACAAACCCTACTGTGAACTGCACATATGAGGGATCTAGGTTGCACGCTCCTTATGGAGACTCTCTAATGCATGATGAACTGAGGTGGAACAGTTTCATCCTGAAGCAATCTTCCCCCACCATCCACCCCATCCATGGAATAATTGTCTTCCACGAAACTGGTCCCTGGTGCCAAAAAGGTTGGGGAACACTTTGAAACTGTGTTTTTTGGTCATAGATTTTTGTTGCTGTTCTTGTTGGAGATAATTTGGAGATTCCTAGATGAAAAAGAGTTACATGATTGCAAGATAACAACTGCTTGTTTCTCATAGCCCAAAATAATTATACAACAGTGCCTCTGCCATTCAGCATTCAATATAATCGTCTATTTGGAAGAAATGGTAACATTTTCTTTTCAAATTGTCCTTAAAATTTCCACTGTGGGTCAGGTGCAGTGGCTCATGCCTGTAATCCCATCATTTTGGGAGGCCAGGCCAGAAGGATTCCTTGAGGCCAGGAGTTGGAGACTGGGCAATATAGTGATATCCTCACCTCTATGAAAAATAAAAATAAAAAATTCAGCCAGGTATGATGGTGTGTGTCTGAGTCCCTGCGACTTAGGAGGCTGAAGCAGGAGGATTGCTTGAGCCCAGGAGTTTGAGGCTGCAGTAAGATGTGATTACACTACTGGACTCCATCTAGCCTGGGCAACAGGGTGAGATTTATCTCTTAAAAAAAAAAGTCTACTGTCGTTGCTGGGCACTTCAAAAATTCAGCCCGTAGTGTGTGCTTGTAGTCCCAGCTACTTGGGAGGCTGAAGTAGGAGGATTGCTTGAGCCCCAGGAGTTCAAAGCCAGTCTGGGCAACATAGCAAGATCTTATCTCTAGAAAAAAAATTTAATGCAAAATGTTTATTTCAGCAACCGGAGATAATAGCAGCAGTAAATTTAGGCTGATGTTATGAAGATGTCCTGTGTCACTTCTATACTTGGAAGGAGAAAAGTGGCTCACCTGAAATGAACTCCAGACAATCTCAGAGAAACTGCCCCGTTACGAGATTCTTTCTCTCCTGCAAACTAAACTCAGCATATTGCCTTCCTCATGCCAAAGAAAGTACAGAATATTAGAAAAATGTGGGAGTAGAACAGAAACTGAAAACTAGACTACAAAAGCGTGCTGGCAAAATCAGTTTCAACATAATGTGAGGGACACATTTGCCTCTATTGTCTTAAGGGGCTTTAGTTATCATGCTGCACACATAGTTGAATGACACCTATGAGGTGCAATCATTTTGAACCTAGAGACAGCAGTTGGAGTGGTTTAGTCAGTAGTTGATCAGCGCATAGTGCTGGTTTCTGCCAATTGGGCATGGCCTGCCAAAGAATCAGGAGGGGTTATTTTAAGTGTGTATATACTTTTTAACGCTGGTAGTGATATATCCTTTAAGATAGGCATGGGTCTTCACAATAGACTCAAGTATTTCTACCTAGACAAATTGTAACTGTTTAAGGATTATGTAGGGAGGTTTATTTAAAAATGCTTTTGGGGCCCCACTATAAGAGATGGATTCAGTGAGTCAGGGGAAATGCTCCCAAAGAGGCATTTTAAACAAACTCTCCAGGTTATTCTAAGGCAGGTGGGCCTAAGCTACACTTTAAGACATTCTGTATTAGAAGCATCTCCCTGAATAAACGCCACTTGAATCTGAGACGCTAGGGTTAAGCAATCATGTTGGGCTAAATTATTAAGAACATAGGATTCTATTTAAAAAGGAAAGCTATCTTTACTTACACCATTTCCAGGGATTAAAAAAATTGAGCAGGAATAAAAACAACCCAACTTTTCTTAAAACAACCTTTAAGGATGGCAATGAATTTAGGAGACAAGTTTCTCATAATATAAGTTATAATGAGGCCAAATTGATAGGTTATTTAAAATATTAATTAGTTCTTGAAAGCAGGTTTACGTTCTGAAACCAAAAATTGTATTACCCTTACATTTTTTTATTTTTTTAGATGGAGTCTCACTCTGTCACCCAGGCTGGAGTGTGCAGTGTGCATTGTGCCATGGCACAATCTTGGCTCACTTCAACCTCCACCTCCCGGGTTCAGGTGATTCTCCTGCCTCAGCCTCCCGAGCGCTGGGATTACAGATGCACACCACCACACCCGGCTAACTTTTGTATTTTTAGTAGAGATGGGGTTTCACCCTGTTGGCCACTCCTGACCTCAGGTGATCTGCCCACCTCAGCCTCCCAAACTGGTGGGATTACAGGCCTGAGCCACTGTGCTTGGCCTACCCTTAAAAATTTTTATTCTGACAAGAAATACTTACTAAAAGCCAAATACCATAATTTCTATATATCCTTCTCTTAACATGTAATAATTGAAAAATAAGAAAAAAGTCACACCGAAATGAACTGGTTTAATGAGAGATACTAATATTCAAAAGTATAATTAGAGCTAAGAAATTCAAGTTATTAAATAAAACAGAAAATATTTATTTCAAATTATAATAGAGAACATTTATATAGAAATCAATAATAATTCTATTTTTCAAAGATAATTTTGGAGGCTGAGACAACAGGATCCCCTAAGACCAGCCTGGGCAATATAATGAGTCCCTGTCTCTAAAAAAATAAAAACAATTAGCCAGGCATGGTGGTATGCACCTGTAGGCCCAGCTACCCAGGAGGCTGAAGTGGGAGGATCACTTGAGCCCAGGCATTCTAGGCTGCAGTGAGCTATGATTGTACCTCTACACTCCAGCCCATCTCTAAAAACAATAACAATAATAATTTTGGCATGAGTCTTCATAATAGACTCAAGTGCTTCTTCCTAGACAAGATAGAATATATATCATTTTATCCACACAGAAGTTTAGCAATAAGGTTTTGTTTGTTGTATAAGTACTCCCATATGTACAAGTCTAGCATCAATGTTTGCATAGAGGTAAAGTGTAGTGGAAGTATGATGAAGAAAAAAAAAAGAAATGGGCAAGTGGAAGAATTTTCTTTTATTTTGTTTTGTTTTTTTGAGGTGGAGTCTTATGCTGTCATCCAGGCTGGAGTGCAGTGCCACAATCTCGGCTCACTGCAACCTCTGCCTTCCAGGTTCAAGTGATTCTCCTGCCTCAGCCTCCTGAGTAGCTGGGATTACAGGTGTGAGCCACCACACCTGGCTAAATGTTTGTATTTCTAGTAAAGACGAGGTTTCACCCATATTGGCCAGGCTGGTCTTGAACTCTTGACCTCAGGTGATCCACCCGTATCGGCCTCCCAAAGTGCTGGGAATATAGGCGTGAGCCACCACACCTGGCCAAAGAATATTAACTAACTGAATAGCAGTAGGAGGAAGGCACTTGAGCTAGAACTTCAGACCAGCCAATGTGCAATTTTAAGCCTGAGTATGCAGAAATTTCAATAATATGACTGATAAAGGTGATAGATACACATTCAGACATTGCCTCTATACACAATCCCTTTTAGAAAATGGAAGCAAATCTCTGGATCATTTAGTCCCAAAAAAGCCTTGATTTTTCCCAGAAAGCCACTTCAGGATTCTTGACGATTTGTTCATGGCATGCTCTTGGCATGTTCCTTTGCCTCTTCAAGCTTCAGTCTTTTCTCCAGTAAAATGAAGATAAGAATCCCCACGTTATTCATCATCTGAGTGGATTAATGGAGATTAGGTACAGGGAGTGCCAAGCATATGAAAGGCTTAATCCATCAGAGCTGTCATTATTGTTGTGGACTCTCTTTCCTGGAAACATCTTTTATTCCCACATGGTAGCTTTTTTTTTGTTCTGTTTTGTTTTGTTTTTGTTTGTTTGCTTGTTTGTTTTTGAGACAGAGTCTCGCTCTGTCGCCCAGGCTGGAGTGCAGTGGCACAATCTTGGCTCACTGCAAGCTCTGCCTCCTGGCCTCACGCCATTCTCCTGCCTCAGCCTTGCAAGGAGCTGGGACTATAGGCACCTGCCACCACGCCTGGCTAATTTTTTTGTGTTTTCAGTAGAGACGGGGTTTCACCGTGTTAGCCAGCCTGGTCTGAATCTCCTGACCTCGTGATCCGCCCACCTCAGCCTCCCAAAGTGCTGGGATTACAGGCGTGAGTCACTGCGCCGGGACCCCATATGGTAGCTTTGTAAAGGGCAGGGTCAAGGCCCAGTTCTCACACTCACAGAAGCTCTGGGTTGGGAAGGATATTAAAGGTCACTTCTGGTCCAAGCTCTACCTCTCCATCCAGTGCCAGGTCAGAACTTGTGAAAGTTCAATGCAGGTTAATAATTTGGCACCTTTTTTACTGATATTCTCCAAATAGTTGTTCAACATTTATTTAGAAGTTTAAAAATTAGAATAATAGCAAAAAGTGTAATTTTCACTTCTCAAACTTGGTAGGTTTATTTTGGGAGTGGCCTTGAACCTATTTTGCAACTACTCCTTAGTAATTAAAATGAACTTCTCCTGAGTTGAAATGCAAGATGCAGTTAATGCTTCCAAAGTCTCTTCTGCAGGACTGGATCAATGAATAAAAACTGACACTAAAACATAAGTAGCAATTATTCAATAATTAATACTAATGAATTACTAAATCTCTACATCTTAAAAGTTTGAATACCAGTGTATTTAGAATTTGTTTGGCTTCCAAAAACTATGCATGCCATGGTGTTTTATTTTAAAACTTCAAATCCTAACACTATATACCTTTTTTAAAGTGTTAATTTCTCATTTCTTTTTCTTTTTTTTCTTTTTTCTGAGACGGAGTCTTGCTCTGTCACCCAGGCTGGAGTGCAGTGGTGCGATCTCAGCTCACTGCTCCTGGGTTCACGCCATTCTCCTGTCTCAGCCTCCTGAGTAGCTGGGACTACAGGCACCCGCCACCACACCTGGCTAATTTTTTTTTGTATTTTTAGTTAGAGATGGGGTTTCACCGTGTTAGCCAGGATGGTCTCAATCTCCCGACCTCGTGATCCTCCCGCCTCGGCCTCCCAAAGTGCTGGGATTACAGGCGTGAGCCACCGCGCCAGGCAGTTAATTTCTAAGTGTGGCTATATCTTCATAAAATCTCTCTCTATGGCCATTAAAATGGATTATGCCATAGATGAAATGGTCCTTAACATTCCATGGACAAAGACCCCTACAGCTTGATTTTGCTGAGATAATCTTCATAGTTAATTAAGGACCACAGAAGACTACCATGAGCAGCTGAGGTCAGACAGGGACTGTAGAAACACAGGCTAAAGGACACGAAGAATTGTGTAATTGACTAAATGTTCAGGGCACAGCCAACAAAACTCAATTGTTCTGGACAACCACACCATTTTCTCTAGAGTTGCTGAAAGTTGTGTGGGTGGGATCTACAGATAATTGCCCCACTTCTCCATTTCATTTTGCCTGTCTAAACATTGTATAAATAACTACTTGATAAATTCAATGTTGATGTTGGCACATGAACAGACAGACAGAAAAGTGACTGCTCATTTTAAAATGTATAAAGCCAATATAAATAGTAAACAAATCTCAAAGGAGAATGCCTAAAAATGTTTAAAATTCACAATAATGTTTAATTTACCAAATTTCAACCCACTTATGGAGCTTAATTCAAAAATACTTTTGGCTTATATTTAAAATAAAGTGACATTTGACAAACTGTTCAAATATTAAGCTTAAAAATGTACTCTTCCTAAATAATAATTTTAATACAAACTCTAGATCCACAACTTGCAGGATTAACTATCTCTTCCCCAATATGCCAAAAACACGTACACATCCAAATATGCATAGAGAATATGAATGCTAGAAAAGTTTAAGAATATATCATGAAAATATATTTCATATGTCAGGATAAATAAGCTTGAGTAGTTAATGAAAAATAATTATTTTAAAGTTTAAGTTGTCTTTAAAATTAAATTTTACATATATTTTCAAGATATATGAGAAGACATACACCACCTACCTCACTATGGAATGTGGTAAAACAAACATAATTTATATCTGTGTCATGGCAGCCAAATGGCATAAATTCTTTAGATGTTGAACTTTGCTAAAATAGCAACAGCAAATTTCATGAACAAAGTGAAGTGGAAGAGAAAAGAGAAGAACAATCCAATACAAAAACTGTCTAATTCTTTCTGGTTGCCTTATAGCCTAAAAGAAAATTTTAAACTCTCCTTAAGCCATAACTGCAAAAAATTTAAAAAGAAAATCCATCTGTTAAAACAAATTACGCAAATGGTATTGAGGCTACTTGAATTTATGTCACAGTGCCCTTAGTATTAACCACACCAACTGTGGGCCACACACGTTTGACTAAATGTGCTTAGTGGTTGATTCCAGAAATGTCATAATTCAAGAAATGTACAAGGAAAAAAACTAGTGGAAAAGCAAAAGTAACAAGTGGAATATTTTACAAAATTGAAAATAATACCACACAGGTCAAAAAAAAAACATCCAATTAACATATATAATTTCAGTTTTGTGCTATATTCCAATGGTTCTTTTCAGTCTTCTAATTTACATTGCTTTTTATATATTTCATTAATATATAGGCATATGTTGGAGAAATTGCAACTTTGTTTTCAGACCCAGGCAATCAAGTCACATGAATTTGTTTCCCAGCAGATGTACATGTTATGTTTAGAATATACTATAGTCTGTTAAGTTTGCAATAGCATTGTGTTAAAAAATATAGATACCTTAATTTCAAAAATACTTTACTGCCAAAAAATGCTAATAATCATCTGAGCCTTTAGCCAGTACTAATTATTTGCTGGTAGAGGGTCTCATCTCAATGTATTTGGCTGCTGACATCAAGGTGGTGGTTGCTGAAGGTTGTGGCAATTTCTTAAAATAGGACAAAAATGAAGTTTGCCACATTTGTTGACTCTTTCTTTCACAAAAGATTTATCTGCAGCATGTGATGTCATGTGATGGCATTTTACCCACAACAGGACTTTCAAAATTGAGGTCAATCCTTTCCAACCCTGCCGATGCTTTATCACCTGAATTTATGCAATATTCTAAATCCTTTGTTGTCATTTCAACAATGTTTACAGTGTCTTCACCAGGGGTAGATTCCATCTCGAGAAACCACTTTCTTTGCTTGTCCGTGAGAAGCAACTCCTCATCCTTTCAAGTTCTATCATGAGACTGCAGAAATTCAGTCATCTCTTCAGGTTCCACTTCTAATTCTAGTTCTCTTGCTATTTCTACCTCATCTTCAGTGACTTTCTCCACTGAAGTCTTGAACCCCTCAAATTCATCCGTGAGGGTTGGAATCCACTTCTTCCAAACTCCAGTTAGTGTTGGCATTTTGACCTCCATCCATGGATCACATATATTCTTAACGGCATCCAGAATAGTAAAACATTTCCAGACAGTTTTCAACTTATTTTGCCTAGACCCATAAGAGGAATCAGTATCTATGGCAGCCATAGCCTTACAAAATGTATTTCTTAAATAATAAAACTTGAACATTGAAATTACTCCCTGATCTGTGGGCTGTAGAATGGATATTGGATTAGCAAGTAGGAAAACATTAATCTCTTTGTACATTTACATCAGAGTTCCTGAGTGACTAGGTGCATTGTCAATGAAAGAAATCTTTTGAAAGGAATCTTTTTTCTGAGAAGCAGGTCTCAACAATGAGCTTAAAATATTCAGGAAACCATGCTATAAATAGATGTGCTGTTATCCAAGCTTTGTTGTTCCGTTTATAGAGCACAGGCAGAGGAGATAAGTCTTAAGGGCCCTAGCATTTTCAGAATGGTTAATAAGCATTGGCTTCACCTTCAAGTCACCAGCTGCATAAGCCTCTAAAAAGAGAGTCGGCCTGTCTTTTGAAATTTTGAAACTACACATTGACTTCTCATGTCTAGTTAGGAAAGTCCGAGGTCGTCTTTTCTTCTAATAGAAAGCTGTTTTGTGTACATTGAGAATCTGTTGTTTAGTGTTACCACCTTCATCAATGATCTTTGCTACATTTTCTGGATAACTTACTGCTTCACCTTGTACTTTTATGTTATGGAGACAACTTCTGCTCTTAAACTTCATGAACCAACCTCTGCTAACTTCCAACTTTTCTACTGCCACTTTCTCACCTCTCTCAGACTTCAAAGAACTGAAGAGAATTAGAGCTTGGCTTTGGATTAGGCTTTGGCTTAAGGGAATGTTGTGCCTGGTTTGATCTTTTATCCAGACATAAAACTTAATATCAGCCACAAGGCTGTTTTGCTTTCTTATGATTTGTGTGTTCACTAGAGTGTACTTTTAATTTCCTTCAGGAACTTTTCCTTGTATTCACAACTTAGCTAACTGGCACAAGAGGCCTAGATTTTAGCCTATTTCAGCTTTCAACATGCCTTCCTCACTAAGCTTAATCATTTCTAGTTTCTAATAAATGAGAGATGTGTGATTTTTTCCTTTCACTTGGACACTTAGAGGCCATTGTAGGGTTTGTAAGTGGGCTAATTTCATCATTTTTGTGTCTCAGGGAATAGGGAGGCCTGAGGAGAGGGAGAGAGATAGGAGAACTGCAGGTCAGTGGAACAGTCAAAACGCAACACATACCGATTAAGTTCAGTGTCTTACATTTGTGGCACCAGAAAACAATCACTGATCACAGATCACCGATCACAAATCACCATAACAATTATAATAATAAAGAAAAAGTCTGAAATATTGTAAGAATTATCAAAATGCGACAAACAGACATGAAATGGGCACAATCTGGGAAAACAGTATCAATAGATTTGCTCAAGGCAGAGTTGTCACAACCTTCAATTTGTAGAAAACACAGTATCAGCAAAGCACAATAAAACAACATATGCCTATAATTCACATACCATTCAATTAATCCATTCAAAGTGTACAATTCAATGACTTTTAGTTGAATTATGCAACCATCATTACAATCAATTTTAGTATATTTTCATCACCACAAAAGAAACCTCATACATATTAGCAGTACTCCTCATTTCTACCAAATTCTCAGCCCTAGGAGACCACTAATCTACTTGCTGTCTCTGTAGACTTGGCTATTTTGGAGACCCCATATAAATGGAATCATACAATACGTAGTCTTTTGTGACTAGTTTCTTTCACTTAGCATAATACTTTCAAGGTTCATTTGTGTTGTAATTCCTTTTTATGGCCAAATATTATTTCATTGTATAGAAGTACACATTTTATTTATACATTCATCTGTTGATAGACGTTAGGGAAATTTTAATTTTTTAGTTATTATGAGTAACATTACTAAGAATATGCTCGAACAAGTCATATGTGCATGTATATCTCCATTTCCTTTGCGTATATACATATCTGAGAATGGAATTGCTAGATCATATGGTAATTCTATATTTAACTTTTTGAACAACTGACAGACTGTTTCTCAAAGTGAGTGTATTATTTTGAAATCCCAACACTAATGTATGAAGGTTCCTATTTCTCTATTATTGCCAAAATAATAGAACCATGCCTTCAAAATTCTGAAGAAAAATGGCATCTAACATAAAGTTCTGTAGTCTGCCAAACTATCAACTAGGCATGACAATAGAATAAAAATTTTTCTAAAAATTTTTAGATATGCAAATACTCAAAAATTTTTATCTCCATCACCTTACCCTTGGGAAACCACCGTGTTCACAATGATAAAATAAAATAAGAAAAAAGAAAACTTGTGTGCTGCTGTTTTCCATAGTCTTGTGCAAGTATTTGACTTTTAAAACTATATGCATGTAAAATGTTGAATTTTTTTAAAAAATACTTAAATTTAAAAAGATGAACTCTTCTTATGGACTGATTGAAAACTGTTTAGTGAAAACATTAACTGAAATCACCTCAATTAATTCTAGTTTGGAATGTTTATTTACTTGATAATTTAAAAAAACAGGCAAAGACTTTTATACAAAATTCCTTTTTATTTTTGTATTGCAAGTGACGAATACTTGTAAACTAGCCTTTTGAAGTTGACTTTGCAAGGCTTGACATACATGGTTACACTGAAGAGACACCTTTTGGAATGTGAAATAATTGAGCTCATCATGGGAATAGGTGTTTGTGGCTGGGTTTTTTAAAAACCCAGTGGTCAACACATCACAAATTTAAAAAGTATTAAATTTCAAACTTGTGCTGTGGAAACTATTAAATGACTCTGGTCATGACAAAATCATTAACAATAAAGATTCAAGTAAACAGTTCAAATAATATTTTTTCATTAAATGAGCAGGGGAAAAAAGGTGCATTACTAAATCAATATATTATTTTACGTGATAACTTTATTTTAAATACATATTATCTAAATCAAATATTCTAAGAAAAAGAAAATTAGCTATCAGTTTCCCAAAAACATCTTTCATTTTCATTGAGGAGGTGGCAAGAATGAAAGCAAGGTGAGCCCATCATTCCTTAAAAGTTGAGGCCATGACTTAATCATACTTGCATTTTATGATCATCTGACTGAAGAAGTCTCTCTCCTCCCTCTCTATCCTATCACCCTGTTTCTTTCCTTAATAGCAATTGTCACTCCCTGATATTTTCTTGTTTATTTATTGGTTTATATGCTTCAAGTTTATCTCCATTAACCAAATGTAAGCCTAATGAAAGCAGAGCTCCTGAAGTCTTGTTCACATCGGATTGCATCCTCAGTGCTACCCAATGCCTCTCAGATCATTGATATTTATTAAAAATTAAACAGATGAGCAAAAGAATGGGCAGCTGGTAGACCTAATAAACGATGTACACTAATGAAATCTTTTTCACAAATGTGGCGTCATCTTCTGATCACTGGGAGGAAAACTGCTTTCTAACAATTCTTGTGAGTGATAGTTTACGATGCTCCCAGTATTGAAACCTTCTTGCTCAATGAATAGACTCATAGTGGGGCTGTAGCTATTAGTAGCCTGTGTCCTCTGAGAAAGTTCTCAATAATTTTTATAGCCATCCTACTTACAGCGAAAGCATGGTTCACTCTGTAGCTACTGCATGAGGTCTGGCACAATAGGGAAAAAAATGGAATAATGTTAGGTATTCAAAAGTACGTAACTTGTTTACTCATTTACTTCAACAGAGCATTTTGCTTTACCACTTTGAAACCTGATTATTTCTAGTTTCACTTTCCTTGAAACTCTTTGATGGCTCCACAGTGACTACGGAAAAGTCCGCAATGTTAGCATGGAAGACAAGTCCTTCCACAGTTGGGCCAGCTTCCTCTTTCTCACTACCTGGTTTCTGTCTCATGAACCAGGCTCCAGCTATAGCAAAGAGCTTCCAGTCCCTGAATAAGCCAAGTGGTTTCTTCCCTCAGCGCTTCTGCTCACCCAGCTCCCTCTGCTTGGAAAGCCCTCCCTTCCTCTCCACTTAGTGATTCCTATTCTTTGGTTAAGACTTCACAAAACCTTCTCTAGCACCTTCTGGAAGACAAATGACCAACCTCTCTTCTGGGTAGAGGCCACTACCCTCACAGATTTCTTATAGGACCTGGCTCAAGTTTACTCCCAACACTGCATCTCCCACCACTTTCTATTTTTAACTCCAGACACTGGCCTCTTTGCAGTTCCTCAAATCCCTATTTTCATTTGCCAGGAGTGAAAAATATTTTCTCAGACATTTACACAATGTGTTCTCACCTCCATTCAACTCTCTGCTCAAAGGTCACTTCCTAGGAAAGGCTGTCTTAGACCACCCTGAGATATTCCTCCCCTTCTCATTTTTCTGAATAGAACTACCCCTTATTTAGCCTTTACACCAGCTTACTTTTTCTTTGTAGTACTGATCTAACATTATATATTTAGTAATGTACCTGTCTTCCCTTCTAGAATATAAGCTCTGTGATGGTGGATCTTTGTTCTGTTTACTGCTGTGAATGTGAATGAATAAATGATTGAATGGCACTTGTGGCACTTGATGACTGATGTTGGCTTGAGATTTTGCTGTCTTTCTCTGCAGGGGCTGTATCCTATGCATCTTAGTCTCCAGTTCCTTCCTGGCACAGAGTAACTTCTTAATATTCCTTCTATGACTGAACGACATCAAGTATACATTACCTATAACAATTGTTCCCAACAAAGAGACTCTGAATCCATGTATACTGCATAAGGTGAAGAACACAACTATATTTCCACAATCCCTTTGTCTAAAACTCGGGATCAGATGTGTTTCAAAATTCAGAATCATTTATTTATTTATTTATTTTATTTTTTTGAGACAGTCTCACTCTGTCTCCCAGGCTGGAGTGCATTGGTGTGATCTCGGCTCACCGCAAGCTCTGCCTCCCAGGTTCACGCCATTCTCCCGCCTCAGCCTCCCAAGTAGCTGGGACTACAGGTGCCCACCACCATGCCTAGCTTTTTGTATTTTCAGTAGAGACGGGGTTTCACCGTATTAGCCAGGATGGTCTCGATCTCCTGACCTCATGATCCGCCTGCCTCGGCCTCCCAAAGTGCTGGGATTACAGGCGTGAGCCACCACACCCAGCCAATTCAAAATCGTTTATTACTTAACACCCCTGTCAGAGTCAGTATCCTGTTATCTAACTCATGACGAGCTTTGCAACAAAACATGTGAAGAGCCCTACTACATGTGAGAAATAATGCTCAAGTCAGCTTTTGCTGCCAAGTGAGCTGTCAAGATAGATTTCTTAAGTATGGGATTTTGGAAGTGTGGACAAGGAGCTGTGGATATGTATTAGCATACGGAGATTGGTGAAACATCTCCATACTAACATGGGTTTCCCACAATCCAGAAAGTTAAGAATTACTGATTTAATAAATTAGTTTAAATAATTTATTTTTTCATTGTAGCTATCATTAATGAAGCATTTACTTTGTGTCAACCCCTGTGCTGAGCTCTTTAAATATGTATGTAAAACAATTATTTGTCCCATTTTATAGGTGAGGAAACTATGGTTTAGAAAGAGGCTTAGCATATCTTTGAACTGGTAACTGACTAAGCTGGACCCAGACTGAAGCTGCCTCACGATAAAAAGCCATGCTCTTACTTCATATTGCACAAGGTCAAAATTCTTTAGTCTTCCCAGTTTCTTTGTGATGTTGATTCTAAGAAAAGTTTCTGTAATTCAAGTGAATGTGAAAATCCTCAGGCTACAAGATCTCTTTTGTAAAAAACAGGCTGGCTATATGTAGTCAACATTTAACTGATATTTGTATAATGGAATAATGTATTTTCTCAGCTACACCAATATTTTAAATGTTTGTAATGAGAGATCAAGTGATTTCAGATAATTAAAAAAAATACAGTCACACTAACTTGCCCTGATTTCCTTTGTAGAACCATGATCTGCGGAATCAAGGTCTGCTGTTACCTGATAGATGAGAATAGGAATAGAAGAGGCCATCAAAAGGCACTAATTATAAATAATATGTAGATTTTTAACTTATCCTTTTCAAGAACACTTTAGCTGTCTGAATTTTTTTAAAGCCAGATAGAAGTTGGTAAAATGTATCTGTGATGACCAAATTTTGAAACTCCTTTGGAATTACCAAATATAGCAGAGGTAGTTGGCATTAAGGAGTCACTTGTATAGAAACAATAAAGCTCTATTTTAAAAATCTATGCATAGGGCTACAGCTTCACCTGAAGACAGTGTTTTGGACCATACCACACTCATGGGAAAGCCTCCAATTTTGAAATGTAGAGTAGCAAAAACACAACAGACAGTCATTTCATGGTACAAAGCAGATACTATAAACATGAGAATTAAGAAATGAAAATAACATATACACTAAAAACATCACAACAGAAACAGGCTTTATTTCAACCAGACAAGTGAATTCTTCAATTAACATCAACTTCTTCAAGACTTGAAGATATGGAAATTAAAGACGGTGCTCAGAAGGCAGAGAAAGGAAGATTCATCATGGAGTAATTGTTCTGTCCTTCAAAAATCCCTTTCAACAATAAGCTCAATACACAAGATCATGGGATCTCATGCATCCCAATATTTGTACATGACCCTCATTTGAAAGTTACCCATCAGTCTTAATGAAATCTTTCAAAAAGAAAAAATATATAGATCAGTATAAATTATTTTTAATTTTAGAAACTGAGATTGAAGTACAGTTTTTAGTTTAAAATATTAAAAATGAAAAAACCTTTAACATTATTAAAGATGTGTTGTTACAAAGTTCCTAGATATATACATGTACAAAACAAATAGATATTACTATCTGACACCTCAACCCATGACTTACCCTAAATCTCCTGATATGAACAATTAATCTACTGGGAGGCTTTTCCCAATAAGTTTCAAATTTCTTGCACAAAGATTTGCTGCCATTCATATTCTGTGCATGGATGAGGACATTTAATCACAGACTATTTCAACTTAATATAACCTAGCATAAAATAAATCCAATGAAACACTACATTTATAAGCGATAGGACAAACTTGCATATAATTTGCAACTTTTGCCAGACTCATTAAATTCATTAACACATTCAGTCTTCTCTTCACGGGCATTTTCAAGAGCTTTAGATCTTGTGCTTAACTTTGTATTGAGCTGGTCAGCACCTTCATTGATATGAACAATTATGTCAAAGAAAGGTTACAGGTAGGGGGAGGGACATCATCTGAGGACAGAAACAGAGGGAACGACTCTTTTTTCAGAAGACAACTAAAACAGAAAAACAAGACAAAAAAGGGTACAAAACAAATAACAAAAGTGTTCACAGTAAAACATGCCAGATTTGTAGTTTCATTTGAAACCAACAGCAAATCATGAAACGTCATGAAAAATATAAGTCAAGGTAAAATCTCCTAGAGTAATTACTAAATGAAGTTAAAATCACCACACTGATCAGTAAACCCCAGAAGAAAAATGACCAGCGCTTACATATCAGGTCCTTCTTAAACATCAAACAACTTTTCAAAGTTAATGCATACAATTGGTAGGTTTGGCCACGCTGCACCATTTTTTTAAAAAAATACAGTATACAGAAAAAAAACCTTTTATATTCCCCCGTTTTGAATCATTAGCTCAAAACCTAAGAGTAAAAGATCATCTGGAAGGATTTTAAATTATTTACAAATCCAGCAGGTTCATCTGCCATAATGGCTTGGCTTCCGTCCCAAAGCGACTTTCACCTTCTCCAGCAGCAATTTTTTAGTTCTCTGTCCTTTTGGGAGGCTGTTTCCTCCACTGCTCGTCTCTACTTGTCATCAGTCATTTTGAACAGTTCCAACAGTGCCCCAACGGCTCCAAAATAACCCTACGAAAACAATACAAAACGATGATCTCTGAACCTTAGCCAAATATGTATTGTTTTTAATAATTCTAGGAATGCCACTAATATCGATAAAAGAGAAATTTAAAACCTAAATTGTGTGTCACAAAACATGGCAGAATAATAACAACTATAATTTATTGGACACCTACTTATATATATTAAATACATTCACATATGTAAATGCTTAGAACTATGTCTGGTACATGTGTGCTAAGTGTGTGCCAGGGTTGTTAGTATTATAACTATTTCATCTTTATCTTTGTCATGGCAAAACACTGACTATTATTTCACATATGAGAAATGGAAGGTAATAAAGTAAATTACCCTTGCAGGGTCACAGGTCTTGTACCAGGGCTCAATACCAAATCTGTCTGACTTTAAAGCTATATTTCATGAGAGAAAACCCTAAACTTCCCTCAGTAGCTCTTGCAAAGGCACTTAAATTAGTCCAAGCCTTACTTTGCCCATCTGTAAAATAAAAGACCATACGTCTATGAAAATGAAAGGAACTAAAAAATATAAATTTTTAGAGAACTATGTGTTAGTTTGTTCAGGCTGCTATATATAACAAAGTACCCTAGACTGGGTGGCTTATAAACAATAGAAATTTGTTTCTCACAGTTCTAGAGGCTGGGAAGTCTAAAATCAAGGTGTCTGGTGAGGACCCATTCCTCACAGATAGCTGTCTTCACATTGTAATCTCACATGGCTGGATTACGTGGTGGAAGGGGCAAGGGAGCTCCCTTAGACCTTTTTATAAGGATGCTAATCCCATTCATGAAGGCTCAGCCCTCATGACTTAATCACCTCCCAAAGGCCACCTCCCAATACCATCACTTTGTAGATTAGGATTTCAACATAGACATTTGAAGTTGGTCACGGCACAAATAATCAGTCCACAGCAATCTGTTTCCAAAAGGCAGGAGGCTCCATTCTTCTGGCACTTGCTGAACTCAATAGTTATAACTGCAGCAGTAGGTGTGAGTGTGGCAGGATGTGGATGGATCTTTGCTGCTGCTGCTGCTGCTGTCTGCTTACATTTATTGAGGCCCCACTAATGCTAGAAGTTGTTCTAAGCACTTTACATGGATTTACTCATTTACCCATCACAATAACTCTATGAGACAAATATAATTGCCCCATTTTACAAATGCTAAAACAGAAATGGAGAGACAGAGTCATTGTCTAAGATCTCACAGTCAGTAAAACGCAGTGTTCTTAACTACCTGGCTAGATGACTTCTCTTAAGAGATGTTCAGTAACATTAGTTGAATGAATGAGAAATTTAGTGAGGACTCCTAAGGCCAGGGCAGGTGACCAGAAAGCCACCATACCCGTGCTTCTCAAAAGTTGTCTCTCCATAATATTCTCTAGTAAGGCCCGCGTAAGCCAGAGGGAATTTAAGAATGTAGAGAATTTTCTGAGGAACACATTATGAGGGTTACAAGAATACTCCATTTTCACTGGCCATAGAGACTGAGTTATGATATAGGGTAACAAACCAAAGCCAGAGTCCACAGAGGCTTAGGATTGTACAGGGTGATATAGGCGACTACATTTTTACCTACAGAAGTGAGTTTCCCCAAAATGTTGGCTTTTATTTCCTATCTTACCACCTAACTTCCCACCTGATGTTATAGAAGACTTTTTATCCCTGACAGTTTCCAGGCTTTGTTGTCTGCATTAGGCCAAGAAGATCTGGACTTATGGTTACCAGATAAGACACAGATAAATGGCAGATAAAATAACTGGGCACCCTGTATTTTTTATTGCTAAAAATGGCAACTCTATCTGGACTAGAACAGGAGTTTTCTTTTTCCTTTTTCATTATTTTTTTTAAAGGCTGAGATGTTTTTTTCTTTTTCAAACAAAACCTTACATGGAAACTCCATAAATAATCAGGTATTCTGGCTGTGGGGGGTAGGGAGTGGAGGTTCTGGGACCTCATTCCCCCTCACTCAATGCCTAAAGTCTGCTTTAAAAACAAGAGCTTTCTTTAGTATGAATTTCTATCATTGGGCCTTAACTATTTTGTATTTAAGTACCTGTTTCATATACTTTAATAAAACAAAATGCAGGCATAGAGAGTTCTAAATAACTCTAAATGCATTGGTAACTTCTTAAATAAATAGCTCAGCTTAAAAATGAGAAAAAAATGGCACAGTAGTTATTCATTACAATTGAAATTGACAATACCAGCTCTCTCAATGTTTTTCTGCTGCAGTGTATACAAGAGATTAGATACCTCCAGTGATAGCTCATTGCAGCACTGCAGCATTGATTTTAAAGGAGGTGACAGAGGAGGTGGAAGAGAGAAGGGCCCCCACTTTTTGGTTTATATTATGGTAGAAACTCCAAGTAAGGGGGCCGGGGTGGCTCACGCCTGTAATCCCAGCACTTTAGGAGGCTGAGGCGGGTGGATTACCTGAGGTCAGGAGTTCGAGACCATCCTGGCCAACATGGTGAAACCCTCTACTAAAAATATGAAAATTAGCCAGGTGTGGTGGCGCACGTCTGTAATCCCAGCTACTTGGGAGGCTGAGGCTCGAGAATTGCTTGAACCTGGGAGGTGGAGGTAGCAGTGAGCCAAGATTGCGCCACTGCACTCCAGCCTGGGTGACAGAGGGAGACTCTGTCTCAAAAAAAAAAAAGAAACTCCAATAAGGGACTCTGAATTTACTGACACTCTCCATTTCCTTTGTAAAGAGGTTCACTAATGGTCAGGTACACTGACCTCTCAAGGCCAATAAGCTACTCTTAGTAGCCCAAGCACTTCTGTTCTTACCAGCTGAATTGCTTACTTGCCAAGAGTCAGCTGTGTTTATCCTTAAATTTGTTTATGACAGGTTGATTGTAATGTAATAATCTAGTTTAACTATATACCACCTAAATCAATAAAAAGAGCACAAATTAATGGTCAGTTCTATGAAAATTCAGTTAAATTCTTGAGAAATATTGAAAAAGGTAGTCAGAAATAATTGCTGTCTACTTAGGTGGATGCCACAACGTGAAAGAGAGAGAGAAAAACCTGTAAACATTCTGCAACCAATTTACTTCATAAGTATCTTTATCTTCTTAATCCACTTTAAGGAAACAAACTGGAAATCAAAGGAGGTGCATAATATTGTAGATTATGAAAGAAAGATAACTACAGGACTCCAATCGGAGAAACCATGCTCAAAAATAGGCGTTGGTCTCACATCAAAAGATTGGTAAGTAAGTGCACATTTACACATTTTAAGGTATAATAAAATGGTTGAAGAAAGCTTTCATTAATGATTACTCATTTTATCTGACTTTAAAACTTTTTAAAAATGTTATTATAAATTGACAACTTATAATCGTATATATTTATGGGGTACAAAGTGAGGTTATGATTTATGAATACAATGTGAAATAATTAAAGCAAGCTAATTAACATGTATATAACTTCAAATACTTAGATTTCTTTGGTGAGAACATTTGAAATTTACAAGTTTGAAATGTATGTTCCCATTTCCTCTACCCGCCAGCCTCTGTAACCACCATTCTACTCTCTGCTTCTATGAGTTTGATTGTTTTAGATTCCACAAATAAGTGAGGACATGTAGTATTTGTCTTTCTGTGCCTGGCTTATCTTAGCATTTTTTCCAATTCCATCCATGTTGTTGCATATTACAGAATTTCTTTTTAAGTGCTGAATAGTATTCCATTGTGTATATGTACCACATTAAAAAAAAAATCCATTCATCTGCTGATAGACACTTAGGATAATTCCATAACCTAGTTATTGTGAGTAGTGCTGCAATAAACATGGGAGTGCAGGCATCTCTTCGACATACTGATTTTAAATCTTTTGGGTAAGTATTCAGAGGTGGAACTGCTGGATCATATGGTAATTTTATTTTTAGTTTTTTTGAAACTTCCATGCAGTTTTCTATAATGACTGTCCTAATTTACATTTCCAGTGACTTTTTAAAAAATTAAATTAACCAACTACCAGTCCTGGTTGTTGGATAAGAACGCTTCCATTTTATATATGCTTTTTTCTTATCCTTTGTGTAAATGCAAAGTGTAAATGGCAACTTTTCTACTTGACCAATTTAAAAAGCTAAGAGACCTGCTGATATGTTAGCCAAACCAAAATATACTCCACATATGACAGTAAGTCTATGCAAGCTCAACCTACCTCATGTTCCAAAAACAGAGCTTTCAGTTGTCCTTTGGACCAAAAATCCATGGCATATGCCAGCAGCTTCATGGAGACCATATTGATTCTGAGAAAATTTCCAACAAACACAACTCTGTCTATGTTCTGGAAAAAATATTAAAGAAAACAATTGAATCATGGCATAAAAATAGCATTTGGCAAAGACCCAATGTTCTGTATGTCTCTGTACAGAACCTTGAAGAGTGAATATTCCTTGTTTTTTTGGTGGAATTATTTCAACATCGCCAAAATGAAGTTAAACCAACCTTATAGTGCATTCCACAAGAACAAGAGGCTGAGATTTTTGTTGGGCAAGGCAGAAACTGATATTGGACTTATTTGCAGGTGTTATGTCAGACTGCCTTACGTCTGACATTAAGCTCTCAAAACATACGTATATATACAATTTTAACTGGAGTTCAAGTTCAGCTAAATTTTCATGTGTAATACCTCAATCCCCCAACTTCTAGGTATAAAATACTCTTATAACCAACTCACAAATAAAACGGCTATGGTATGGTTTATTTGTGTAATGAATAATGCTCAATTTGTTCTGTGCTGGACACTAGAAATACAAAGAAGAAAGAATACTCAGTCTCTGCCCTCAGGATATGTGGTGGAATATCCTGTTTGGCCAACACATGAGTTAAAATATGGTAACAAAAAATAATTCTATTTTTGTCATCATGGATGTGGCTTTGCATTCTGAACATACACTTATGAACATTCCTCTCCTATCCGGTTCATGCAGACATGCTTCAAATCCCGTAAGCTTCTAGCTCCAGTGCACTCGTTATACTTCCCACTCCCCGAGATATTTCTTAAGCTCAAACTGGAGCTCAACCTGTCTACCATGCAGAGACTGCTCACCACTCACTCACTCACTTAGAGCCAGTTGCTATGGTCACTCATATCAAAGGCAAGAGAGTCTTTGAAGCTGGTATTATTTTCTGCTTAGTCTATCAAGAGTAATCAGGGTCTGGGAACATCACCTTTTAACTGCCTCAAGTTTTAACAATGAATGTTCATTAACCCATTAGCCACTGAAAATTTTCCGTGGGTGGAGGAGTGGAGGTAGTTTTAATAAATTTTCATTAAAAAAAAAAACAAAAAACTAGCCACAAATCACCCAAACTAAGAGGTAGCAAGGAACACTCTAAGAAACTCAGACTAAAAAGAAATTTAATTAAATTGAGGAGTTTTGCCCTTTCTCCCAAAACAGGGGAGTCCAAGGGAGGATTTGCTCAAAGCCCAGTCCTGCATTACCCTAATAGAAAGTCAGAAGGAGTAGAAGTGGCATTAAAACTGGAAGAGCATTCCATGTTTCAAATAAATTCCAGGTGGGTCAAAGATGTTAAAAAAGAAAAAAAAAAAAAGAAAGAAAGAAAAGAAAAAGAGATAGGGAAAAATATGGAAGAATTGGAAAAAAAAGTTGAAGTAGAAAATGCATAATAAAGGAAATCATCTCAAAATAATTGCTACATTTACTTTAAAAAGTTAAATTTATTCGGGGAAAAACATCACCACAAACAAATCCAAACGGGAAGCAATAAATGGAAAATATTATCAGTACATTTCACATAAAATGGATTTGTTAATTAATAAAGAGTTCCATAAATCAACAAGAAAAAAAGTCCAACAACCCAATAGAGTAATGAGTAAATAATATTAATAGTTAATCCCAAAATAAGGTATAATTTTTAACCTATTACATTGAAAAAAATCAAAAAGTTTGATAACTCTGTGGAGAAACTTGTACCGTTATAACCCTGCTTGGTGGGAATGTAAATTAGAACCACCTTTATGGAGGGAACTTTATATCTGTTAATATTACAATCAACATATCCGATGACTCAGCAAGTTCCCTTCTAGGAATTTATCCTATTGATATACTCACATGTAGGCAAAATAATATACATGTGTGTACATATATGTGTGTATACCGTATACAAATACACTGAATTTTTAAATAATAGTAAAAGACTGGAAAAACCTAAATATCATTAGGAAATTGAACAAATCAATAACAGCATATCTATATGTTAAAATGCTATATGGCCATTAAAAATGAAGCAATTTAAAATATACTGATATGATCAATTTCAAGATGCGTTATTACGTCAAAAAGCAAAAGGCAGTATTTTTAGAGATGCTTATTAAAATATATAGGGTAGATTGATATAATATCTGGGATTTGTTTTCTAGTATTTTAGCAAAAAAGAGGGAAGAAGGAGAGAGGACCAGAGGGAGGAGGAAGAAGAAAATATAGAGAAAGCATGTGTTGTGAAGCCTTAATGATTGCAGAATCTGCACTGATGGATTAATGGAGGTTCTTTATACTGTTCTCTCTCCTTTACATATGTTTATGAATTTTCTTAATAAAAAGCTGATAAAGCAAGATATAGAATAGTATATGGAGGGTGAATTGTATAGCATATAATTATATTTCAATAAAGCTATTATTTTGTAAAAAGAATGCTATATAGAGTTTGCTACCTTTGGAAAGATAAATGTATCCTACATTACATACAATATAAACAAAGATATATTGTAATACGTACAATAAAAACAAACAAAAAAACCCTAAAAAAAATGGCAGCCTCTACTGAGGTTAACACTGAGAGACAGAAGTGGAAATGGTGACTCACTTCCTTGTGTATCCTTCTAATGTCTTAGAAGTCTGTATTATGTGTTTGTATTATCTATCCAAAAATTTGAATCAGAAAATTTATAACTGATGGGGAAGCATTTCACAGCATCTCAAGAATCACAGCAAAAATGTTTTAGATTTGGTAAACGTGGTGTCCCTCAATGAAATGGCTGCAATCAAAGGTTCTCAAATCAGTGACTCCAGAGAGCAAAGCAAGGACTGAGGGACTTGGTGGCTGCTCTCATGGGAAATGCAACACTGCCAGTCACTGGTGCGGCCACTGGGAGTCTGCACTGACTGGACACCCTCTGGTAGAGCCTTGGCCCCAAGGCGACTGGTGATTCCCTTCACTCATTCAGCCCCACAGAAACATATAAAATAGTTGCTCAAACCAGTGTATAACATGGCTACATTTTCAAATTGGCACTCGCTCTACTCCACCAATCAACAATATTGAAATTGAAATCAAAAGTGAAAAGTAAAGTCAGTTGCTCTCTCCCAAAGGGATTCTGATGCCTGTGAAAAGACCTGCTGACCTGCTGGCTCACTCCAGCAAAAAGCACAAGAAGCCAGCTCTGCGGAAAGTAGGGGAAAGGGCATCTATTGCTCTGTGGGGCAAGGGTTGTTACCAGCTGACCTTTGAGAGCCCATGAGTACAGCCAACTACACACATATTGGTCTTGGGGCTTGTTTCATTACTTGGAAAAATTCCCTTTAAAGGTTAATGTCAAGAAATAAACTCTGTTACATTGAGTCCCATGACTCAAGTGGACTTTGAAAAAACATCTCTGGAATGCTCTTTTCTCTGAGTATCAGCCTCCCATTTAAACTCCGTCTGAACTGAGGGCTTCCAAAAAGGTATATCGCTGATCTGCAGGCCAGTAACATACTCTGTTCAGTGTTATGCAAGGAGAGTATGTTTTTTGTCAACCCAGAACTCAAAGGCAGGGCTAACACCCATGTATCATAAAGACTGCCTCATACACTAACATTCAACTATTCAACTGAGAGGGGGCTCAAGGGGCTTTCTGAGTACCTATAATGTTCTATTTCTTGATCTGGGTGATGGCTATACAGGGTTGCTTGTGTGTGTAAATTAAACTGTAAGCTTATAATTTGAGCCTTCTTCTGTATGTATGTCACCTCTATTAAAAGCTGTATTTATAAAAACTCCATTACAGATCTACTGTGGTTCTTTAATACTCTCCTATGACCTGTTCCATGCCTCAACTCCTCTTTCCTGTCTTTCTAATATACCTCAGTGTGAAGAGTTCTACTTTATACACCTTGTATTTCAGAAAAGGTTCAATTTTTTCCAAACGAATCTTGCAATGCTTCAAAACATGTTAATACAACTTTGTATGTCACCAGCTCCACCCCTTTTTGTGCCTGGGACTCTGGCTGGCCTTGGCTGTAGCAAGCTCTCTGTGCTTTGATAGCCCTGTACAATGCTGCTTGAACTCCATGCCACAAGGCAACACTGTAAAGAAGCTGAAAGCAGAGAGAATATCGAATATTGCAAGTCGAGCATTTTACCTGCAGTTATGTGCAAGGATGCTCAGACCTTTTCCTCACATTTCAGTGGACACATGGCAATAATGATGGTTAGAGAGACTATGACATGGGTTGTAATTGTATCCTGTTTCCACAGGTGAATGGTTTATCATTCATTATCATCCAGTGCCTTCTTAAAAATAAAGCATATATTCCTCCCCCTCCCCCAACACACACCCCTCCTGTTCTGTAAAGTGTGACTAGAGTAAAGGGAAGCTTTCCTAAGGATATGTAGTTGTGTAAGAGTCAACAGGTGTTGCACTGCCAAGATGATGTATATGAATGACACACAGCTTTCACCGGGTTGAGTAAGGCCTTACCTCATTCAACGCGCACATCCGAGCAATGGAGCCAATGTTGTTGGTGATGGTGACCAATGTGGCCCGGGCGAGGTCTTCCTTGCTGATGGAATCTCGCTTTTCTTTACTCATCATGTTGCCAAAGCTATGTTGGAAATATCAGCGAGAGTGTTCAAAATCGTCCTCAGGCAGGGCCCATCCTTCCACCAAAGTATTGTGGAAGGCTCTACGAGTAACTGTTCAAACTCAAGTGATCCAATTTTGCTACTATGGTTTATAAGCAGACAGAATTATAGTATGCATGGCTGACCGCCCTTTTCTTAATAGGGACAAAGTAGCATGTCCATTAATGGGGGGGGAAAATTAATGCCTCTAGATATCTGGACAAGAATGGAACAGGTGAAACTATTGCAGTTTTCTAGAACCTTCTTTCAAAGTTGCCTTATTTTAAGAACAAGCATCAAGAGCTAAACATCTCAGTGCTTCATCAAGGGCAGGAGATCAAGTCTGAGCTCTGATACAACAGGTATCTGCACCAGGCTGGTGGACTGACATTTTAAAACAACTTAGTGAATGGCCAGGGTGGAGAGGCTGCCTTGTGTTTAATCACTACTGCTCCTAGCTACTTAATCTCTACCTTGATGCTACAGCAGATCCTTGAAGGCCAAATCGTTCATAGTCTCCTCCGTAAATGTCCTTCACCAGTTTATCAACATTGGTGCTGTCGCCTTTAGCTGCCATTTCCAGAGCTTCTTCAAAGGTCTCACAACCAGTCAGCAAGCAACATAGGCCTAGGAATGTTCCACCTCCAAGACTGAAGGAATAATAAGGTTTATTTTTAAATTTTACTTTAAGATATGCCCATCCAAGTCCCCAACTACGTCAAGACTATTAATATGGGTGAATAAAAGCAGACGAACAAAGGGGCACTTGAATTAAAGTGCTAGGGTGCAACAGAGCTTTAGGGTAGACTGGATATGAAAAGAGGGCAGAGACTAAAAATAAACATCAAGGAAAATTTGCCCCTAAATTTGAGAACAAAACCAAAGAAAGACTCTCACTGATTTCTGTTGTGAGACCTTCAACTAGCCACTAACCTGAGTGCTTTGTTCAGCCTTCCCACCTATGAAATGGGGCCAAATCATGATCTCTTCTATTTGGGTGGTCTGAAAGCAGCAAATAACCAAGAAATAACTCCTATTAAAAAACCATATGCAGCTGAATATAAATACCTAGAAAAAGAATTTGTGTGTACATAAAGCATAGTTCAAAGCTATGAAGCCAAACCCTCTGATGACAAAACTGACCCAGGATTGTGCCAGGAGTGGCCTGTCTTAAAAGCTGTGTTTTACCTGACCTTGCTTCTCTAGCAGAGATAATCTCATTTAGCCTCCTTGAATATTTCTAGAAAGGAACCACTGATCTGATACTGAATTTTTTCCTAGTAGACTCTCCAGAAGGTTTTTAGTATATTACTTACCACTCCATAGTAAAAAACAGTAACAAAGGTCATAAAGTGGTTCCAATGGTTGAACTACATTTAAAAAGCTTTGACTTGTTTAGAGGGAAAGTTCCTCTAAAACAGCCTAGACAAAATTAGAAAGTAATTACAGTAGCCAAGAATGAACTCAATTGTGTATTAATATCAAAGTTACCTAATGGAAAGAAAAGCAGATTCAGAGTAAAGTATCGCCAGTGAACTCCCAGCAGGAAAAGGAGTATTGATTCCTAAAGCTAATGGACATAGGTTTTCCTATTTCTTTACCATGTAGAAGAGTAAATGAAGAAGAGCTGCTCACATCCATCTGTTCTGAAGCCCCAAAGAGCTACTAGCTTTGGAAATTCAATTTGTGTTTGAGCACTGGCTTTTACTTCTAAGAATAAAATCAATTTGGGATTAAGGTTATGTTTAATAATGTCAATAACTGTTAACAAGAAGGTACAAAACTGTAGATAGGTACATAGTTCTTGAAGATGCATCTAAAACGAAACTGACCGGGCGTGGTGGCTCATGCCTGTAATACCAGCACTTTGGGAGGCTGAGACAGGCAAATTACTTGAGGTCAGGAGTTTGAGACCAGCCTGGCCAACAAGGTGAAACTCTGTCTCCATTAAAAATACAAAAATTAGCCAGGTGTGGTGGCTGACACCTGTAATCCAAGCTACTCAGAAAACTGAGGAAGGAGAATTGCTTGAACCCAGGAGGTGGAGGTTGCAGTGAGCCGGGATTGTGCCATTGCACTCCAGCCTGGGCGACAGACACAGCGAGACTCCATCTCAAAAAATAATAAAATAAAATGAAATAGTGAAACTATGTGTAATATTCTTAAATTGTCATTTGTATAAAAGTATACTTGATTGAGGCCAGGCGTGGTGGCTTATGCCTGTAATCCCAGCACTTTTGCAGGCCAAGGTGGGTGGATCACCTGAGGTCAGGAGTTTGAGACCAGCCTGGTCAACACGGTGAAACCCTGTCTCTATTAAAAATACAAAAATTAGCCAGCCTTGGTGGCACGCGCCTGTAATCCTAGCTACTCTGGATGCTGAGGTGCGGGGATTACTTGTACCCTGGTGGAGGCTGTAGTGAGCCGAGATTGCACCACTGCACTCCAGCCTGGGTGACAGAGCCGGACTCCATCTTAAAAAAAAAAAAAAAAAATATATATATATATATATATATATATATATATATATATATAACTTCATTTACTAATATATATATGTACACACACACATATATATATGATTGAAATTATGGGTTTTCATGGAAAATTATGTAGCTAGGTACCACCAGTAGCAGATACCCAAACTGTAGATGCAGTTCCATGAGTAAAGGAAGAGGTCCATGTACATTATTACCTTCACAACTTAGTCACAGTACAAACTTTGGATTTCCTCTAAGAAAGTTTATCTTTATTCACATTTAATGCAGTATGTCATTCTACATTGCTGGTTTCAGCCTACCTACAAAACTACGGTGGGAACATGTTTTGGTTTGTGTGCTATTTGGATTTGTTTTGTTTTCTCCCTGTGTGTTTTTAGAAAGATGTCTTTGCTTCCATTTCTAGCTTCTAAATATCTGTCATCCCCATGAATAATCTTTCTTTGGACATTAAGGATTTGTATCAATCGAGGCATTCAACAACCCACTCCAAAGGTAGGCAACTGAAGACACTGGCTAACTTAGAAAGAAGGTAACCCATTGGCTGATGTGTTGGTATAAATGAAAAAGGGCAAGTGCCTTGTATGACTGGAAAATGACAGACAACTCCACATAAAGAATTGGAGCAAATGAGGTAAAGCGAGCATGCATTTGCACAGTGAGTGCACTGCAGATAGGAGGAAAGAATGCATGGCTGCAGAAGAGCCAAATGTCTCCCAGCACTTTATTAATATCCTTAACCTGCTAACCATTATTTAATCAAGTGATTTTCTTGCTCACAATCAGATGCATCTGTTTGTTTCAGTAGGCATACAGTAAAAACTCTCAGTATATCAGAGAGAAAAACAATGCAAGAAAAAGCTGTAGAATATTATCATCATTTAAAAATAAAACAAACAACATCATAGTGGGGGATGTTAGGAAACAGCAGAAGAAACCTTCAATTAAGTGCTCATGCCCTTAAAACAGATTCCAAAATAATGAGATGAGATGTACTGCTACTTTCACCAAAGTTTCAAAATTATCTGCATTCCTCTTTTAACAGATTACACATTCTACTGTCAGCTATGAAGTACTATTTCTTCCATTGACTTCTATAATTCGAGTTGTGTCACTAGGAAAAAAATGTTGCTACCCAATCTGGGATGCAACAAAATTATATATAACACTGAAATAAACCATTTGAAATCATGTTTAAAAGGAAACTGACATCCTGTGTAGCTTCTTAAAAATAAACATCTTTAATGTTTAATGGGAAAATCAGGTATAATACAATAAGAAAAAACCTGGAGTGACAGCTATCAGTTCACAATAGGAGTAGCAAAACTTAAAGCTAAGCCATTTGCTAAAACAGTGGTTCCCAAAATGTGTTTTACACACTCATACTAACCATAGATACTAACTTCACTGCTAACTGTAATCGTTTATGTCAGAGGTTTCCTAACTTGAATTAAAAGAAACCTTTGGCAAAACAACTCTGGATCAGGATCACAGCCCCACAGACTTGATGTTTCATTCCCCTCCCTTCTCGTGGTAGCCCCTGAAAGGGTTCTCTATTAACCTGCAGGCTTCGGTAGCACCTTTCCAAAACTACTGATTGAAGAGAGAGTTTATAGGGAAGCTTGAACATCCAGACAGAATTTGTTGATGACTGGAGAATACTGGACATTAATGGGCATTTACCAATATTTATAGACATTATTACACACATAATAGAAGCCAAACACCACAGTTTGCTTCTTTGCAGCTATCCAAGATGACCCAGATCTGCGGAGCCTCCAAGTTTAAGAAAGTGTACCTGTGATGTAATTCATTAAATTGTTAAGTGTTAATAAAACTAGATATCTCTAATGGTGAACAATGTATAGCTTGCTGTTACCTTGGGACTAGCTTTACCAATTCAATTACTCCTTCTGGGAGGCGGTCTGTAGTTGTTTAAAAATTATGTTTATCAAATCACTCTCTAATGTAAAACCAACTCAGCTGAAATATTCATGTCTCTGATATTCCTGACAGTCCTCATGAGGTCACGGAGTCAGTTTTGTTTCTTGTGTGAGCAAGCAAACTTCTATATTCTCAATGAGAAAATGTATACTTGGTAGCAATTAACTTACAAAACAAAGCCTATACTCTGGACACAAGTAGGTTTCAATTAGAATGTGTGTGTGTGTTTGTGTGTGTACATGCATGCCAGGGTTTCTCAACAGCAGCATTAGTGATATTTGAGGCTCAATAATTTTTTGTTACCTTATGTACTATAGGATTTTGGCAGCACCCCTGACCTCTACCCACTAGATGCCAGTTGTAACAACCAAAGAAAAAAAGATGTCAAACATGTCCTGGGGGACACTGTTAAATCTTCCCCTCTTCAGTGGGGAACCACTCATTTATCACAAGTCATGGAAATGTACTGCAAAAGCAATGTTCTCCTCCTAATGGGTGAGTAGTCCTGCAGAATTTCAGTACTGGAAAAAGTCTGTAGAAGCGATCTAAGAAACAGCACCCTTCATGGCAGAAATGAGGATACTGAGACCCAGAGAAGTGACACGATATCTGCATCTATCAAAAACACTGGTTTCAACATCAAGTCCCAAAGCACATTCTACATGGCACTAATCTCCTAAGTTGTTCCTCTAAAAATGGGTTCTATGGTTCCACATGCTGGAGAAATGCTTCATATCAAATCCTCCTCCTAGAATTAAGGAAAACCTATTTAGTTTTGTTTACACTGTGATGTCTTAGAGAGATCTGACCCTAGATGTTTTTCCCATGTTGAATACCCGTTAACAGGAAGCTGAGCCCCTTGGCTCTTACATGGGCCTTGGGGTGTGTGCACTGAAAAACAAGGCCCTCTGCCCCACCATGGCCATGGGGCTGTTTCCCTGTCTACTCCACTCCAAAATTCCCTAGGAGGTATGCTGACTATTCCAGTTTTCAGGTGGAGCATTTGGCTGAGGGTAAAAAAACATTCTTTGTAGACATAGTTTGGTTTGCTGTTTGGAATGGTATATTATTTCAAGCAAGTCACTCCGAGCTAGGCATCAATGAGGGTCCAAAAGAAGGTTCCTTCTGAAGTCATCTGTGACCATCCCAAGTATCCTTCCATCTGAATTCTACTGACCCTGCCAATCATTTGGCACTTAATGTATGCCTCCTTCTTGGCAAATTTCTGGTGTGTGCGATCCTTCTTCCCTCAACCTGACCAAAGTTTCTATCAAGGCAAGAACTGTTTTATTAACATTTATATAAATCACCCACATACCACTTTAACACACCATTTGATAAATTCTTTTTGGTTGGCCAAGGAGGCCAAGATATTTCTTTTAAAAATGTATTCAATATAAATAACCTTTTACTATAAACTGGTCATCAAGAAAGAGGTCTGGGTTCAAGCACAAGCAGAAACATGTTTACCTGGTCCCTGTAACTCTTTTATAGTTGTCCTTGGAGTACACGGCTAGAATGCTGACACCTGAGCCCATGTTAACCAGCAACATAGGGTATGGGTTATCAAGGCAGTACGGCTTTTTTTGACACAATTCAGGATTTGTGGGATTTTCAAAATAGTAACATTCTGGCTTGCCGTTGAAGCCAACAGAGTCGACATAAAGCAGGCCCTGAATCAGACAGTCCAGTTCATCCAGTTTATGCAGCTGCAGGTCAGCAATCTAAAACAAAACACACAACAAAATAAAACCTTGTGAGATAGGCGACCATCTAAGGGGAAGCCCCAGAGGTTTTATTTAAGATGGGGTCATTCACATGAAAAGCATGGAGACACCCTTAAAACAAGTTGTAAAATCTTGCAGATAATCAGCCACTGCACTGGAAAAGTAGCCTTGGCTAGATGTCATACCTGCCCACAGTGCATGCTAAAGGACAAGAGCTTGCCTGATTGTTTGAAATGCACCCATCAGCGTGTGTTGTGGGTTGAATGGTGGTCCCTGAAAGATGGCACTATGTCCTAATTCTGAGCACTTGTGAATGTGACTTTATTTGGAAAAAGGGTCTTTGCAGATCTAATTAAGTATCTTGAGAAGAAGTGACCATCCTGGGTTATTGGGGTGGGCCCTGAGTCCAATGGCAAGCATATAGACACACAGGAGAGATTTAAAAGATGCAAAGGAGAAGGCCATGTGAAGACAAAGGCAGAGACTGGAGTGCTGCTCAACAGGCCAATGAATGCTGACAGCCACCAGAAGCTGGAAGAGGCAAAGAATGGCATCTCCCCAAGAGCCACTGAAGGAAGTACGGTCCTGCTAATGCTTTGAATTTGAACCTCTGGCATTAAGAACTACAAACGAATAAATTTCTGTTGTTTGAACCATTAAGTTTATTTGTTATAGCAGTGACAGGAATCTAATAGGGAATGCTGCCAAGAAAGAGGTGCTTACACAGGGTGAGCAGACTGAGAATATTCAGAAAGCAACAAAAATGCTATACTTCCTTGGTAGAGCATGAAGTCCCGAGGGACTGGGAACTGGGGTGAATCACCTTTGAGCCCACAAAGCCCTACTCCCCTTTTTCCAGGCTTGGGCTCTGTAGTTAGATCTGGCTTTGAATTCTAGCTCTAAAATTTACTTAACTGAATGATTTCTCAAACCTCAGTGCCCTCATGTGTAAAATGGGGAAGATAATAATAACATTCATTGCACACTGTTGCTGTGAAGATTACCTAAAAATATAGGTAAAGTGCTTACATAAGCCTTGGCAAATACAAAGCATTCAAAAAATGTTGGCTCTTTTATTAATGTCTGGGGTGGTCCCCAAGTGCCCTATTATGTTCCTGTGAGACAAAAATGTACAGGGGCAAAAAGGTAAAGGGGAATGACCTGGCTGAGGGCTAGGCTTAGGGTCTGGTAGCCATTTTGCCTTCTCAAAAGTTTAATTTATGATCCTCAAATATATTACTACTGGCCCAGAGATCTGGAAACATCATTTTCCATGGACCAAAGAAAGAAAAAAATCTAACAATCACCAACATGAAACTGAACAAATGAAGATAATTTAAGAGACCCAATATAAATTTTTAAAAAATCTCTTTAAAAATATAATAGCAAGTATTTACTGTTTACTACATGCTAAACCCTTGTACCAGATTATTTAATTCTCCCTAAAACCCTAAAAGTTGGTACTATCAACCTTATTCTATGGTTAAGATTCACAGAACTTAAATAACTTTCCCTAAGTGACACAACTAGCAAATATCTCCCAATGACTTGCTGTACTTCTCGTGTCTTCATTGTCATAATGGGTACTGCTTCTGGAGTCTGGAAACAGCCTACACAAGTACTAGACTCAGATATTTTGTCAAAAAGATATTATCTTCATTATAAAAGTTAAGAGGTAAAACGGGCTGGGGTGTGGTAGTTCACACCTGTAATTCCAGCATTTTGGGGCGCCGAGGTGAGAGGATCACTTGAGCCACGGATTTTGAGACCAACCTGGGCAATATACGGAGACCCATCTCTTAAAAAAAAAAAAAAAAAAAAAAAAAAGCCTGGTGTGGGGTACATGCTGCTGGTCCTAGCTGCTTGGGAGGCTGAGGTGGGAGGATCACTCAGGCTTGGGAAGTCAAGGCTGCAGCGAGCCATGGTCGTGTCACTGCACTCCAGCCTGGACAACAGATTGAGATTCTGTCTAAACAAACAAACAAAAAAAGAGCTAAAACAAAATTTTTGACTTCATGTTACTCATTTGAATTTCCTATTTGACAACATTTTTGACTTCACATTACTCATTTGAATTTCTTATTTAACAAAATCCTCTGATTGTATACCTGCAGAACGGAATTAGTTAGAATAGGTTACCAACCAGATAGTGGATGTATTCTTGATTATTCTTGAAATAAACATTCTAAATGACCCATGGTGCTAAGTAAATCTACCTCATAAATGGTTCTAAACATTTCTTTTTTTACCAAGTGAAACTTCTGTATGAGATGTATGTAATTATACATGTTTTAAGAAGCAAAATTACAGGTATAAAACTATCTGGAGACCTGAAAGACTATAGCAGGGCATAGCAGTGTAAACACTATTTCCTCTGTTCTCCCTGATTCCACAGCCTTCCATTGCACTTACAGCACAGGTCACATTCTGGCTTGTTTTCTAGGTCTCTTGCTGCCCCTTAGCACTATGCTCAAAGGCCTGCACATAATAATTGCTTAATAAACATTTATTATGTGGAACAGGGAGTTATTATCTCTTGGATCACCCCAAACTGAAAAGTAGCAATTTCATCAGCCAGTCTTGGAAGTATAGGTTAACTGCTTAAAAATTAATCAGAGGTTCATCAACAATATTGACAGCCAATTCCAGAGCCAACATAACAAACACAAAGTCTGTCCTGCTGGACCTCCTGAAACTATACTAGGAAAAAAGAAAAACCTGCCAAGGCAAATAATCTACGTACGTACTAGAAAAGAAACATCATTATTTCACCTTTTCCCTAAAAATTATTTTCTAACAAAGTGCTAGCAGCAAACATCTCTTCTACACATTTCACTGAGGGGTGGATATCTCTGAAGCTTGAGGTCATGCATCCCCAGACAGGGAAACAAAAATATGTGTCACTTTCACTGAGCCCTACAGAGACCTCCCTCAAAAGTCTTCACCATCTGGGAAAAATGACAGGGTCCCAAATGCAGGCAGTGAGTCATACTGCTACTTGGATTTTTCAAACAGGACATCTGAAATTCAGGACAAGTTGGGAATTAATTATCAGACTTTGCAGTCCATTAGTACAACTGAATGAACTTTGTGGAAAGCTTAAAACAGCATGTTGAGATTTCAGCTAGTGAGAAACACTCTTTCTCGGGGCTTAGTTTCCTTTACATCAAGGGCCACAGACTCAAATGCTTAAAGGAGACTGTAAGAAAACAAAGGAGCAAAGGCCTTGACTAGATGTAGAGTCACAGAATGATAAGGACTGTAGCAAACAAGTCAACCTGCATATATTTAAAATTCACCTGCTGTCCACTGTTGCCATGTGATGTTGAGGGCCCAGTGTTACCAGATGACCCTATTTTTCAAGAGCCAGAAATCCAAATTTTTATGTTAAATCTTCCAATTTTTAAGGGCTGACAGGTAATTTAACATTAAAAAAATACATTGCAGACCAACAAAACATGTCTGTGGGCTGAATCTGATTCCCATATTACCAATTTTATCTATATATATCCTAATGCTGATCCTATAATGAGCCTTAAATGATCAGAAATCTGAACTGCTAGATCCAGCAAATATGCAAATGAAGCTTCAGGTCATTTGAACATACTTTGTAACTAAGATATGCTGGTAAATGTTTAACAACCAGCTCTCTGAAACTAAAAGCCCTAGTTTATAGCATTTACTAATTTCCATCGTATAATCACCCCCGACCATGACCAATTTCAAGCTACCAATGTGATGTCAATAAACACATAATTGGGAAGAGATGCATACATGGACTCTTTTAACCCAGTAGGTGCTGGCTGTAGCATCCCTCTGCTTGTAACTCTCCTTAGCACTTTTGGAGAGTATCAGTTCTGCCAATTCCTAAATTATTAGGTTAAATTTAAGCCACTCCTCAAACTTAAAAACAACAAAACAAAGCTTGTCCTAAGACTCAAACTCTGTAAATAATGGAAGCTAATCAAAGACTGTATAGATCCTGGCTGTGGGACTTTAAGCAAGGAAGCTATCACTATTACCTATTTTGCAGATAAAATGCATCACTGTGGGTCAGTGGGTTAAGTTACCTACTCCTGTTCCTAAGACTAACAAGTAGGGGAAGAGGTAAAGTAGAGAAAATTTTCCAACTACAACTCTGAAAAACTAGCAATGTTATTTCTAATACCAAAGTTACTTAAGTAAGTAGGGGTACAGTGGGGTTCTCAAACTTTAAGTGCATCAGAATCACCTGGAGGGTTGGTTAAAATGCAGGCTGCTGGGCCCCAACCCCAGATAGCTTTTTCCACCCTCCATCAAATGACGAAAGGGGCCATCTATGAGTGGTCAAAGTCTCAAGCAAGAATGAAATTGAGAATGATAGTGTCTACCAAATCTTATGCTCCTGCAATATCACAAATCAGTCCTCAGATTAATAATAGGGACCAAGGTAACAGGTGTTCCTAAATGATGCTCTTAGGTTTAGACATTCCACAGATTCATAGGTGTCCTACCCGCTCCTGATGCTTTTCCATCATTATATGCTTTTTAAGACTGGTCCCTTGGAGATTTCTGGCATAAGAAAAGCCAATTCTTAAGTCCTCACACATTGAAAAAAAGTGATGAAAGCAATCAGAAACCTCTTTCTGTTGCCCTAAATTTAATGTCAACCGAATAAGACTGTTGTTATATCCTATTTGTTCAAAGGGTAGGTAATTTTTTTACTTTTAAAGTAACTAAAAGAGTTACTTCTGACTTCTAATCAATGTTAGCTTTGGACTGGACAAAACTCACAAGTGTCTACATGCATACTTCCAAGATGTTGCAGGTTGATTTCCAGACCACCTCAGTAAAGTGAATATTGCAATAAAGCAAGTCACATGAGTATTTTGGTTTCTTAGTGCATATAAAAGTTGTTTACACTGACGGGGCGGTGGCTTATGCCTGTAATCCCAGCACTTTGGGAGGCCTAGGCAGGCGGATCACTTGAGGTCAGGAGCTTGAGACCAGCCTGGCCAACATGGTAAGACCCTCGTTTCTACTAAAAATACAAAAATTAGCCAGGCATGGTCACGATGTGTCTGTAATTCCAGCTACTTGGGAGGCTGGGGTAGGAGAATCGCCTGAACCCAGGAGGCAGGTGTTGCAGTGAGCCGAGATCGCATCACTGCACTCCAGCCTGGGCACAGACTGAAACTCCGTCTCAAAAAAAAAAAAAAAAAAAAAGTTGTTTACACTATACTGTAGTCTATCAAGTGTGCAATAGCATTATGTCTTTTTTGAGACAGAGTCTTTCTCTGTCTCCCAGACTGGAGTGCAGTGGCAGTATCTCGGCTCGCTGCAAGCTCCGTCTCCCAGGTTCATGCCATTCTCCTGCTTCAGCCTCCCGAGTAGCTGGGACTACAGGTGCCTGCCACCACACCTGGCTATTTTTTTGTATTTTTTAGTAGAGACGGGGTTTCACCATGTTAGCCAGGATGGTCTCGATCTCCTGACCTTGTGATTTGCCCACCTCGGCCTCCCAAAGTGCTGGGATTACAGGTGTGAGCCACCAAGCCCAGCCTAGCATTATGTCTAAAAAAAAAAAAAAAGGACATACCTGAATTTTAAAATATATTTATTGCTAAAAAATGCGAATCATCTGAGCCTTCAGATTAGTAATCTTTTTGCTGGTGGAGGGTCTCCCCTCAATGTTGAGAGCTGCTGACTAATCAAAGCAGGGTTTGCTGAGGGTTGGGGTGGCTGTGGAAAAGTTCTTAAAATAAACAAAAATGAAGTTTGCCGCATTGGTTGACTCTTCTTTTCACAAAAGATTTCTCCACAGCATGGAATGCTGTTTCATAGCATTTTACCCACCATAGAACTTCTTTCAAAATTGGAGTCCATCCTCTCAAACTCTGCCACTGCTTTATCAACTAAGTTTATGTAATATTCTAAATCCTTTGTTGTCATTTCAACAACGTTCACAGCATCTTCACCAGAAGGAGATTCCATCTCAAGAAACCATTTTCTTTGCCCATCCATAAGAGGTAACTCTTCATTCTTTCAAGTTTTATCATGAGATTGTAGCAATTCACTCATATCTTCAGGATCTACTTCTGATTCTAGTTCTCTGGCTAGTTCTACCATATCTGCGGTTACTTTCTTCACTGACATCTTGAACTCTGTCCATGAGGCTGAAATTCACTTCTTCCAAACTCCTCCTAAAGCTATTTTATTCCCCCAACTTGAATCTGAAATGTTCTTAATGGCATCTAGAATAGTGAATCTTTTCCAGAGGTTTCTAATTGATTTTACCCAGATCCATCAAAGGAATTGTAATCTATGGCAGCTATGGCCTATGAAAAGTATTTCTTTAAAAAAAAAAAGTATTCCTTAAATAATAAAACTAGAAACTTGTAATTATTCCTTGATTTATGGGCTGCAGAATGGATATTGTATTAATAGGCATGAAAACATTAATTTCCTTTTACATCTCCATTAGAACTCTTGGGTGACTAGTTGTGTTGTCAATGAGCAGTAAAACTTTGAAAAGATTTTTTTTTCTGAGCAGTAGGTCTAAATAGTGGGCTTAAATATTTAGTAAACCATGTTATAAACAGATGTACTATCATCCATGCCTTATTGTTACATTCGTAAAGCACAGGTAGAGTAGATGTAGCATAATTCTTAAGGGCCACACGATTTTCAGAATGGTCCATGAGCGTCGGCTTCAACTTCAAGTCACCGGCTGCATTAGCCCTTAACAAGAGAGTTACCCTGTCCCTTGAAGCTTTGAAGCCAGGCATTGACTTCTGTTCTGTACTATGAAAGTCTTAGGTGGCCTCTTCTTCCAAAACAATATAAGGCTATTTCATCTATACTGGAAATCTGTTGTTTAATGCATCACCTTCATTAGTGACTTTAACTATATTTCCTGATTAGCTTGCTGCAGCTTCTACATTGCACTTAGTACTTTATCTTGCACTTTAATGTTATGGACATGGCTTCTTTCCTTAAACCTCACAAACCAACAACCTCTGCTACCTTCCCACTTTTCTTTTCATGTTTTTTTGAGACAGGGTATCACTCTGTCACCCAGGCTGGAGTGCAGTGGCACAATCATAGCTCACTGCAACCTCTGCCTCCTGGGCTCAAGCGATCCTCCCATCTCAGCCTCCTGAGTCACTGGGACTATAGGGGTGCACCACCACATCTGGCTAATTTTTGTATTTTGTGTAGAGACAGGGTTTTACCATGTTGCCCAGGTGGGTCTTGAACTACTGGGTTCAAGCGATCCACCCACCTTAGCCTCCCAAAGTGATGGGATTACAGGCATGAGCCACAGGACCCCGCCTACCTTTCAACTTTTCTTCTGCAGCTTCCTCCCCTCTCTCAGACTCTAGAGAATTGAAGAGTTAGGGCCTTGCTCTGGATTAGACTTTGGCTTAAGGGAATGTTGTGGCTGGTTTGATCTTTAATCCAGATGACTAAAAGTCTGTATCAGCCATAAATCTGTTTTTCTCTCTTATTATTTGTGTGTTCACTGGAGTAGCACTTTTAATTTCCTTCAAGAACTTTTCCTTTGCATTCACAGCTTGGCTAACCATATGGCACAAGAGGCCTAGGCTTTGGTCTGTCTCGGTTTTCACCATGCCTTTCTCACTAAGCGTAATGATTTCTAGCTTTTGATTTAAAGTGTGGGACATGGGACTCTTCCTTTGACTTGAATATTTAGAGGCCAATTAGACCAACAGTAGTACTATTAATTGGCCTAATTTCAATATTGCTGTGTCTCAGGGAATAGGGAGGCCTGAGGTAGGGAGAGAGATGGGGGGACAGCCTGTCAATGGAGCAGTCAGAACACACAACATTTATCAATTAAGTTTGCCATCTTATATGGGCATAATGTGGTGGGTGCCCCAAAACAATTACAATAGTGACATCACTGATCACAGATCACCATAACAGATACAATAATAATTAAAAAGTTTGAAATACAGCAAGAATTACCTACATGTGACACAGAGAAATGTGCGTACAAGCCATTGGAAAAGTGGTGCCAATAGACTTGCTCAATGCAGGGTTAACACAAACCTTCAATCTGTAAAAAATGCAATACAACAAGGTATGCCTGTATTGCAATGAAAAGCTATATGGGCAGAATTAATGACTTTTTAAAAATAAATTTTCTGATGTTAAAAATACCTTGCATTCTTGAGAATACGGTTGTTGAAGTTAGGAAGTGTGGTTGGGAATAAAAATACTAGAATCTGTACATAAAATATTCTGCTTGGTTATTTAAAACAAAACCCACAGAATATAGACACTGGGAATAAACACAAAATTCACTGAAACCTACAGAGCCTTGGTGCACAGCCATGCAGAGTTCTCCATCTTGAAAGCCACTTTTTAAATGGTGGGAGTTCCTCATTGGCTTATCAACATCTTAGTCTATTTGAAGTTAGGCTAAGTTTTTCTTCTGTGTTCCATTTTGATAACTCATTGATTTTGAAGGCTAGTTTTTGCCAGTCAAAAATTTGGTTATGACAATGATCCTAAACTTTTTTTTTTTTTTTTTTTGAGGTGGAGTCTGGCCTCGTCGCCCCGGCTGGAGTGCAGTGTTGCCATCTCAGCTTACTGCAAGCTCTGCCTCCTGGGTTCACGCCATTCTCCTGCCTCAGCCTCCCAAGCAGCTGGGACTACAGGCGCCCGCGACCACGCCCGGCTGATTTTTTGTATTTTTAGTAGAGGCGGGGTTTCACCGTGTTAGCCAGGATGGTCTCGATCTCCTGACCTCGTGATCCACCCACCTCGGCCCCCCAAAGTGCTGGGATTACAGGCGTGAGCCACCGCGTCTGGCCAATCCTAAAATGTTAAAAAAGAAAACAAGAAAGGAAAGAAGGAGGGGAGGGATGGTGGGAAGAAAAAAAGAAGGAAAGAAAAAGGAGGAACAAAGTGCAGACCTGTTCAACTGAGAGTATTCTACACAGGTCTAATTTAATGATTGTGTCATGGTTTATAGTTCTTTCTTGTACATTTTAAATGGAATGAAGAATAGTTACATTATCTAAGGATTCAAGTACATATACTATATATTTTTTAAAAATACTATTCAAATATAACAAGTGCTTACTATTCGGGGTCTGTTGTACATCTTTTACCTAGCCCTAATCGCTCAAATAAATCACACAGATGGATTTTTCAAACTCCTATCTGCAAAGTTGTGTTATACCAAAAACAGTGATTTTATACAATAACAATAACAGGACTTTATAGGTATGTAGATGTACTTCTGTATGATTTGTCAAATTGTTTTAATACGTACAGTAGTATATATTGATCCTTTACAATTAAGTTAGCATCTTCGATTTTCTATTCTAGAAATGAGGAGAGCTTGGATTATTAGGACACTAAGGGCCTTAGCACTCACTGCTCCATCTGCCTAACACACTCTTTCTTTGCATGATTTGCTGTCTTCTTCAGGTCTCTGCTCCAACATTGCCTAGTCACACAAAGACCCTGCCAGCACTCCCTATCTTCTTTGCCCTGGTTTTTTCCCTCCATTCATAGTAATTATCACCATCTGATATATTCCATATTCACTTTCTTTTTTGAGACAGAGTCTTACTCTGTCACCCAGGCTGGAGTGCAATGGCACGATCTCGGCTCACTGTAACCTTGATCTCCTGGGTTCAAGAGGTTCTCGTGCCTCAGCCTCCTGAGTAGCTGGGATTACAGGCGTGCGCCACCTCACCTGGCTTATTTTTGTATTTTTAGTAGAGACAGGGTTACACCATGTTGGCCAGGCTGGTTCAAACCCCTGGCCTCAAGCAATCCACCCGCCTCAACCTTCCAAAGTGCTGGGATTACAGGTGTGAGCCACTTTCGCCTGACTCTATATTCACTTTTTAAATTGATTATTGATTGTCTTCCCCCACTAGAATACAAGCTCATGGTGAGCAGGGGATTTATTTTGTTCATAACAGTACTTGGTGCACTGAAAGTGCCTGAGTGAGTGAATGAATGCTTAGGAAGGAGGATAACACCTATTCATCCTCATAACTTTGGAAAGACTCAGGCACATCACTAACATAACATCAAATGGGCTATAGGAAAAGATCTATCTGTTTCAATTCTGTCTTCACTTTGGCTGAGACTCAGCCTGGATACAGAAGGCAGTTCATAGACTCTTCTTTCACAGATGGATGCCCAACCTGGCCAGACTATTTAGCAAATGTTACATACTTGCTCCCTACTCCAGTCTATTCATTAGGCTTCAAAAGCCTGTCCAAAGGAGGAAAGGCTTCTTTATCTTGGTTGTAATGAGATGTGACTTTTCTCAACTTAGAACCTTGAGAAATACACCTGCTCATGGCCAACACATATTGAGTAACTTTCTCCCAGGGTATACGTTACCCCAGGGGAGAGATGGAGGCATTGACAGAGGTTGCATCAATCCTCTGGGTCACCTTGGTTCACTTCAGGCTCTCCAGTGGAAATGGACAGATAGGGCATCCTTGAGGGACCTGAGGAGCTCAGAGCAATGAGAGTGGATCAGCATTTCCTTCTGAATCAGAATTGAGTCCAAGTCCCAGCTCTTACCTAGGTGACACTGCTAGAAGCTTTTGATCTCTCTGGCAGCTTTAGTTTCTTATCTACGTAGCACAAGAAGGCTATACTTTCTCACCTCCAGAGGTCACTTTCAGTTCTGAAGTCTTACTCCCACCTCTTTGCAGATGACAAAATGAGGCCCAGAGAAGGGACAGGTCTTGCCTAGTCACCCAGCTGATGAAATGTAGAAACAGGACTGGAGTTCAGGTTCAATGGTTTTTCCATTATGGACTGAAACTTAGTTCTCAAGCCCATGGATCTCAAACATCTCAGTTTTAAAACTCTTTGATCATGAGCCTCTTTGGTGAGAAAAGGATTCTGTGGGTCATTTAAGTAAGTGGCAAGTCAAACTCTACTGCTGGGTAATAGGAGGGGACATAGAAGAAAAAAAAAAACAAAAACTGAAGATAATTAGTCTCACTTAGGATACTATTCTAGGACTCTGTTGCCTGCCCTTACAGAAACTTACTATAATCAATGAGGTAAATGGGGTTACTTTTGATGGCACAAGTAAAATTTGCATTTATAGCTTTATTAAATACCATGAATGTGCACTGATTGATTAATGTATTCATTAATGACAGACTTTATAGCAAGACTGGATTATGTTAGTTCTGCACAAAATGGCAGTAATTTGTACTACAGGCTTTGAGAATACGTATTTTATGACTTACCTCACTATATGTTCAACTTTCTAGTAAAACTAATCCTAAAATCTCCCAACCCTTCCTTCTTCCATGTTCAATCACTTTTGTTTATCTAGCTTCCCTTCCTTTCCAAGATATATCTACATCTATTGTTTCACTTTCTTCTCACTTTATAAAATGAAGACTACACAGTACAGAGATTATTATATTGACTGTAGAAAATGAAGAAATTGGAATGCACAGATGTTAAGGGAATGCTAAAAAAAAAAGAGAGAAACATTGGACTGCATGTTACTTATCCGTATCTTCCATTTAGCTTCATTTGTTAAATCTAAATGAGCAACGTACAGTTTGTAAGTACTGCCAGTCAGGATACAGCATTATCCTTACTATATAAAATTATACTCCCTAAATGGTATTCATTAATGAAGGAATTCACTGATAAGTAATATTACAGATTTCATTTTTGTTTGTGAGCAAAACTTCTGAATGGCATTCATATGCTGAAAAAAGGCACTTGAGAGCAAATGGGTAGATAGAAGTAATCATTTTTGGTAGGATTCATAGAAGCCTTCCCATGGGTCTCTGTTTATATATGCATAAAGTTGGCATCACGATTATATAGTAAAAGTCTGTGGTCAATTCTAACTGAAATACTTCAGAAGGGATTTTAGCATCTTGTCTTTAGCGTATTACCCAGCAATAATTGTAATTGAAATGATGATGATAACTATATTGAGCACTTACTAAGTGCCAGGTACATATTATCTCATTTAATCCTACATGTAACAACCCTATGAGGTAGAAGCTGTTTTTATTCTTGTATAGGTGAGAAAACTGAGGCACAGAGCGGTGACATAAGCTTGTCCAGAGTCCCAAGGCTAGTAGTATGGTTCTTCGGTATGAGTGGCCATGATTATGGACATGTGAGAGGTTTTGATGTTTTAACAAAGACAAACCCGACCTACCATTCTGAAGTCCTCTTCGAATTTGAAAGCCCCGCCTCCTGTGGCACAGAGGGTGGTGTGAAGGCTAGAGAAGTTCTTCTCGCTGCCCATCTGAATGAACCTGTGCATAGCACAGCTGGGAAAGCGGATGAAGTGCAGGTTCCCTTTGCGTCCACACATGGTCAGGTTTTTCAGTTCCAGGTGGACGTCTCGGATCCCAGTTTTCCCATAAGCAGTATTAGAAGTCAAATACTTCCGGATGCTCTTCAGGTTCTCCACTTCCTCTTGCTCCTCTTCGGCTGTAATATCCTTCGGCTCGAAATACACCAATTTAACCAGCGTTCCACCGATGTCCATGCCAAACCATGGGAATGCTAAAGGACAGAAAGAAAGAGTGCTGCTGAATGCTATGCGTGCAAAGAAGTGTTCAGTTTTTGAATATTAAATAAGCAAAAGCAGTGGTATCATATCTACATGTGCATTTAACATTCAATTTATTTGAATTCAACTATATGTGCCTAAAAGGTGGCACAGACAGAGAAAATTTTACAATCAAAAGAGTGCCCAAGGCTCTGCTCACACACCACTGCACTCCACTCAGAATTGAGTGAGATGAGAAATAGGATTCTGCAGTTCCCTAAGGCAGTCTCAATTCCTGTGTGCTTCCTAGGGCTCAAGTATCTCACCAAGCTGAGTGTTATACTAATATTTAAAGATAGATATATATATTTTTGCATACATCCTGGATCCCAATTGCTAACTATTTTTGTCAGAATCTTTACCAAAGAAACGGATCTGCTTCAATCCTAGAGGAAAAACTGACCATGCTGGGTGTACCAAGAGATGGTATGTCGGTCTCTAACCTAGGGCGCATTTCAATGATTCCATTTTTGCTTTATGAACTGACTTTAGAAGATGTGATTCCACTGTTTTAATCTATACAGTGTATAGAAAGGGGAAAGAGAGAGGAAGTAGACTATGAGAGATGATGAGCAGACATGAAATTCTAAAAAGAACAACTCGCATTATATCTAATTTATTTCTGCATTAAACAGAGACATCCTCTCTATTCCAAATAGCCTGCTCAGAAGTTCTCAATCCGGCTGCCTTTTAGAATCAGCTGAGAAGCTTTTAATATTCAATTTCTGGCCTCCTCTCGCACATATTCTGTTTAATTCAGGCATGGCATCCAGACATGAATATCTTTTAAAAGTTCCCTAGTGGTTGCAATCTGCAGGCTTGGAAACTACTAAACCAGAGGAACCATGGCCAGGTCTGAAACACAAAGGCATGCCTCTAGGTGAAAGTATACTTAATGTGCTTGTGATGCTTATCTATGACAAAATGAATCTCCATCATGATGATTTTTTTAGTTATATAAGCTCTTTATTGTTAAGAGCTGAAAAGAGCAGAGGTGAGCTACCTAAACAGTCTGACTTTATTTAGAGACAGCCTGGAAAGTTAATGCCATGCTGTCAAATGCTCTGCAATGAACACAGAGCAAACCCAAATGGGAACCCAAAGGTTAGAGTCTTCCTTTTTATTTCCCTCACAGAATCCATTGGCAAAACCCAAAACTGTAATATTAAAACTGAATTTAAAGACTCAGGGTGCAAAAATGGCTTCCTTCCAAGTTTCTTTTATTTCAGCCCTAGAGAACATCAATATGAACCCTTGTCAAATTGTCCACACTGCCAGAAACATCAGTGGGCCCTGCAGAAGGTCTTTTTTCTAGGCACCCCTACTAGTACTTAGCTTTCAATTCAGGAGGGCTGAGGGAGGAGTGCCTAGCAGGAAACCATTTCTGTAAACAAAATCTTCTTTCCTCTGCCTCACTATTGTTATTTTGGTTATGACCCAAGATAGCTGCTTCTCACTTGTTGAGCAGGAACTCTAGCATTATAGAAATAAAATTCCAGGCCCTCAAAAGATTAAGAGCAACAAATTTCACTGACAAGACCAAGTTAACAAATGTCTTGTTTTCTTTGCAGACGTTTACAAAGCAAATTCTGCAACCAGTGTAGGTTGGGAAACTCGCTTGTCCTAGCAGGAGATGAAAAAACTGGAAACTGGTCATCCTCATTTGTTGATTCAGATCACAGATGAAGTCTGTTGGTTTATTCTCTAAAACTCACTGTCAGCATGGGCCACAGTGTAGGAGCAGCATGTTGTAATAGGTAAAGCCCCAGACTGGGATTCGGAACATCTGCTTCCCTGAAGCAGCAGACAGTAAGTAGCTCACTGTAGCTCCTTCTACCTCTTTGGATTTTAATTTCCTTATCTGTAAAAGGAATGGGTTGCATTAAAATTATCTCGAATTTCTTCCCTACTATCAACTTTCCATGAATTCCTTAAGAAATACAAAAGAAAAATTGCAAGTAACCCCAATCATAAAGTCTGACCAGAGTCTTTTTCAGTGGAGTTTTAAACTCCCTGGAAATATACTATGGCATGTTAACAAGTGCCTGGGCTATGCAACCAGTGCTGCAGTTGCCATCCATTCTCATCAGAGAGGCGAAGATGCCTACACTGGATAGGATGGGAGAAGGGTATTTTGGAACATTGCTGGGAAATATTTTGACAACATCTATTACAATTGAAAGTACACATGCATTTTTAACTCAGCAAAGCCCTTTCCTGGGCCATAAAAAAAGCACAAGTATTCCAGGATAGGCATAAGAATGTTCACCGCAGCATCTTTTACCATGCTCAAATCAAAAAACAAAAACAAAACCAAGGCAAATTGGAAACAAGATGAGTGCCCTTTAACAGGAAAACTGTCCAATAAAATGGATGACTTCCAAACTGTAGAATATTAGGCAGCTATTAAAAAGAGAGTGAGGCCAGGTGTGGTGGCTCACACCTGTAATCCTAGCACTTTGGGAGGCTGAGGCAGGCAGATCGCTTGAGTCCAGGAGTTTGAGACCAGCCTGGGCAACATGACGAAACCCCATCTCTACCAAAATACAAAAATTAGCCAGGTGTGGTGGTGCACGCCTGTAGTCCCAGCTACTTGAGAGGCTGAGGTGGGAGGATCACATGATCCAGGGAGGCAGAGGTTGCAGCGAGCCGAGATTGCACCACTGCACTCCAGCCTGGGTGACAGAGTGAGACCCCCTATCTCAAAAAAAAAAGAGTGAAATGTATTCCAGCAGGCTAGAAATATTTCCCCAATCTTCTGTTAATAAGAAAAGCAAGAAATGCCTAGAAGTGTAAACAACTTTTTAAGCCTATTTGGTTTAGGGAGAGGAAGGGAGGAAGGAAGGAAGAAGGAAGGAAGGGAGAAGAGAAGAAAGGTAGGAAGCACAATTTCTAATATGTTCATGATTATATGAGCCTGTAGAAAAGCATAGAAGGCCCCCAGTTGTTAATATTTACAGGAGTGGCAGAATGAGCAGGTTGTATAGTTGGTGGCTAGAGATCCAGGAAAAGGGATGGAGAAAATTCTACACTTAGAGCTTTCAGTAAAAGCAGATAATAAAAAAATAAGAATTACATAATAATGGAAAATAGGAGATACTTCCGCACAACAAGACCCAAACAAGCTACGTAAACCCCAGAAAACAATCTAGTTCTGTACCAGAAATGCAGAATTCACCCAGGTACAGCTGCTATCAGATTTCTGGAAGGAAGAGCCTGCACATAACCTTTTATGTGGTTGGATGTTGGTAAATACAGGTAACTGAAAAGAGGTCTCACTTTTAAAAACACTGTAGGTGACGCCTGAAGATTTTTTGTTATTCAGAACCCTGGTTCCTTCCTCCTGCTTCATCTCCTGCTCTTTCTGAAGCCATTTCAAAGTTTTTCTTGGCAACTCAACAGAACAATTGGAAAAAGTATAGAGTTTTGAAATTTCAGCTAAATGTTATATCATTAGTTTGGGTTAAGGTAGGAGAGATAAGAATTATCTTATCTCTGGGGTTTCACCACGTTGCCCAAGCTGGTCTCGAACTCCTGGACTCAAGTGATCCACCCACCTCAGCTTCTCAAAGGAACTACAGTATTAGTTTAAGTGGCAAAAGAAATTGGCTTTTCTTTACCTATGTTTATATCTTACCTCCATGAAAAATCTAATGCTCTTCTAGTCACATTTATTGCTTTTTCAGTACACTGTCTTATATTAAATGTACAATTTTATTCATCTTCCTGATATCAAGATCTGCCTAAACCTAAGCTTCCCATGCACAAGCTGTGGATGGAGACAGAAGAGAAGGGGAAGGAAGAACATCCTAGTGCAGCTATGATCCATGACTCATGTTTTCTTTACTCCAGCATACCCAGATGCTTTGATCAATTCAGTTGAACTACTAATAAGAGCTTATTCTGTGTTTGCCAAGAGGAGTGATGTTGGTTTTAGGTACAGGAAGTCTGTATTCACCCCTTACTCCTCCTTAAACCAGATGTCATTTTAAAATATTTCTAGAGTATTCATCAACAACGTACAGCAGGAAACCAGGCTCAAACTTCACAGGAAGACTTTTGCAAACAAATAAACTGACCCACTCATTCAAAATGGTTTTCACTCTGGTGAAACTGATGTTCATAAAACCAAGTGCTACAGATAAAATGGCTGTACATCCATCTTTGAGCAACAAGTTTTAAAGAATAAAAGGAATTCCTAGATAAATTTCTATACATTGCATGAGGAGACATACACAAAAATGTTCACTGCAGTGATTTGTAATAATAAAAAATGGTAACAAACTAGATGTTCATCCATATGTAAATAAAATATGACAGATTTATATGATAGAATGCTACACAGTTATGAGAATCAATTATATTTATATGCCTCAAAAGGCATTTTAGAGCTGTTTGCCTGTAGTCCCAGATTCTGAAGCAGCTGAGGCAGGAGAATCTCTTGAACTCAGGAGGTCAAGGTTGTAGTGTACTACGACTATGCCTGTGAATAGTTGCTGCACTCTGGCCTGGGCAGCAAAGCGAAAATCCATCTCTTAAAAAAAAAAGACAGGCGCGGTGGTTCACGCCTGTAATCCCAGCACTTTGGGAGGCCCAGGCAGGCGGATTTTGATGTCAGGAGTTCGAGACCAGCCTGGCCATCATAGTGAAACCCTATCTCTACTAAAAATACGAAAATTGGCCAGGCGTGCTGGTGGGCACCTGTAGTTCCAGCTACTTGGGAGGCTGAGGAAGGAGAATCGCTTGAACTCAGGAGGCGGAGGTTGCAGTGAGCCGAGATCACTCCACTGCACTCCAGCCTGGGGGACACAGTGAGACTCCATCTCAAAAAAAGAGTATCTTACTGGATAGGAACTGAAAAACAATGTTGAAGGAAAACTTTAGGGTTGAAAAAGGTGATAGATACATTGTTACTTCCAGGACAGGGCATTTAATTACAGGCATGAGACCCTCCAGAGCTTTCCCTCTGCTATGGTGATGGGAAGCATTCCAGGTAACCCACAATGAACATAGAGCATAAGCACAAAAGAAACCTTTGTTCTTTTCAACCATTGAGATTTGGATGTTGTTTGTTACTGCAAAAGATGTTGCTTGTTACTGCAAAAGAACCTGGCCTATTCCAACTGATAAAGTGAAGTGCTGCTGCACAACAACAAAATGTGGCAGTGGCTTAGAAGCCAGGCAGCAGGGAGTGAAGAAATGGATTCTGGAGACTGGCACAGCATTTGGTAAAATGATCATGTATGATAACTTGGAAGGCAGATAATACACCTAAAGAATGAGCAGATCTAGTGAAAGACTTTGAAAGTCTAATGTTAGTAGCATGTATTCATTACTATTGACTGCATTTTAAAAGGTGTAATGAAAAAAGAGAGAGATGAGCTCTCTCTGGTTTATAGATTAAAGAAAAGGGAATAGAGTCCATTAAGTTGCACTTGTATGGCTGGAAAAAGCAGCTGCTTCTCCTTCCCAACAAATAGAATGGCTACCACACCCACTGTTAACACTCTGAAAGGGTTAAGATGTCTCCAATAAAGATACAGTTGACACTGTGGCTTCTTGGTTAAATCTTTCAATTAGAATAGCTTAAGGGAAAACATGCTAAACTTGTAGCAGTCTCAACAAAGCCATTAATAAATAAAGGCATGGAAGCACAAATACAAAGGAATAAGCAAATACAAGTATGCCTAGAAGGAATTGAGGGCTTAATTCTTGGTATATGGAAATAAATTGGAATAAAATAGATGAGAAACCGATTTTCTTTTGAAAAATAATTGTACTGCCAAAGAAACTGCAATCTCACACCTAAAACAGCTGGGAAAACTGTTCAAGACCTAAAAAACCTCTGGAGCCCTCAACTCTCTAAAGTCAGGAAGCAGCTGAGAAGGCTGTTCAGGCTCCAACGCAGGCATATTCTCAGTGTTCACTTTAGATGCAATCAGAGAGTCTACTAGGAAATAAAAGATATCTCTCAAGGGGTGGAGCCAAGGGCTGAAGAGAACAATGGACTGGGAAGGCTCTTCCAGGGAGAAGAATCAGGACCCTAAAGGACCCTTCTCCACCTACAAGGCAGGGGGCCCAGAGGGATTTCAGAATTGCTTCAGCATTTTAGAATGACTGAGCACCAGTGACTGCTGGGTATCTCCCATTCACCCCCTTTCTGAATGGGAGTATAGATTAAGTTTTCCAATCTTTGTTTCACCATTATATACTAATATACAATGTGTGGGGGGGTGGTGATGAAGAGCAGATAACTTGCCACTTTTAGTTCAGAAGTCTCTAGATCAAGAGGAACCACATCCAGAGTTGATGTAGAAATGACTTTATATCATCACCTGAGTAACAGCCTAAATTAGGCATCATCCAGATACTGTGCTGGGTGAGACTTTGGGGCAGTCTCCTTTGGGGAAGGAATGAATGTATTTTGCCTGTAAGAGGGAGAGTGAGACAAATATCCGGTAACCAGAAGAGCAACCTGTGTCACTAGTGCAGCTGGCCAAATATTTCTGGTCTCTTTCTTCCAGGCCCATGGGGTCAGAATGCAACTCTTGGCCATTTTATACTTGAGCTGGGCAATGTTCCTAACCTGGCTGGTAAGTTGTGAATGGAAATGGTGTACGTCACTTTCAGGCAAGAATACTTGCCTAGAATGAGAATACTTGGCTAGTGTGAGACCCTTCCAGATTCTTTCTGTTACCTTAACCAGCAAAAATTAAGACAATTGTTCTATCACCTGGGTCTCAAAGTAAAGATGAATCAGAATGGAGCTTCCAGCCACCTTTCAATGAACTTGTGTTGTAAGAAATAAACTTTTGTTGTTTTAAGCCAGAGAGATTTGAGGGTTATTTGTTACTACAGAATAACCTTGCCTATGCTGACTAATATACCCCTAAATCAAAATCCTTCGCGGTTTTTAAAGCTGGAAAAATTCCCTCTCTAGCAGAACTATATATAGGAACTGTCATGATCACAGACAAACATGTGGTAGCTGAGTGTTAAAAAGGTATATAGGTCCTGTTATATTTATTTCTGTCTAAAAATTTCTTAAAATACAAACCAAGATTGTCTATCTGGTAGTAGTTAAAACTGAAATAAATCTGCATTTCAAATATTGTGGCAAAAACATTTTAAAACTTTATTGGCAGTTGATGTTTTAAACAAAGCCTATTTCTTGAAGGCTTTTTCAGAATTCTAGAATACTCTCTGGGGGTCATTTAGGCTTCCTGCAGTAGCTATCAAGTATACACAGTGAACTCCAAATAGCCTAAATGAGCAAAGACATGAGGTGAAAAAAACTGAAAAGATTTTCTATCAATCGAGGAAACAATTTTAAAAAGCTAAGGGAGCATGGCATGAGAAAATCAACCTCCTCTTGATTTCACAGTATAAACTAAATGTAAAATCTGAGTTTCTCTATAACCAGCTGCAGAGCCTTAAGAAGTGTTCCTGGTGAGGCACAAGTGTTCCTGGCGAGTGTTCCTGGTGAGATTCCCTAATGCCAATGTCTTCCTGAATGTAAATCAGGCACCCAAGGGCTCAAGATGAGCTTCTGTGGGCATGGATCTGACTCAGCAGCCAGTTGCTGCCATGGAGAGTAACAATTCTCTCAAGGTTCTACCAAGTTGGAGTTAGGTGTAATTACTATGAATAGGGTGCAGCAGGACTGAAATTTCTTTTTCCAATATTTGTAAAGATTTGTTAAGCAAATCAACAAGGGGGAAAATGTTTAAAGATCATGTGAGCAACAGAAAAAAAGCTTTAAACACTTCTGTTGCGGGAAGTCAGGGACCCTGAATGGAGGGACCCTGCAGCAGAAGAACATAAATTGGGAAGATTTCATGGACATTTATTAGTTCCTGAAATTAGTACTTTTATAATTTCTTATGCTTGTCTTTACTGCAATCTCTGAACATAAATTGTGAAGATTTCATGGACATTTATCACTTCCCCAATCAATACTCTTATAATTTCCTATGCGTCTTTAATCTCTTAATCTCGTCATCTTCGTAAACTGAGGATGTATATCCCCTCAGGACCCTGTGTTGATTGCGTTAACTGCACAAATTGTTTATAAAACATGTGTGTTTGAACAATATGAAATCTGGACATCCTAAAAAGGAACAGGATAACAGCGATTTTCAGGGAACAAGGGAGATAACCGTAAGGCCAAACTGCCTGCAGGGCTGGGCAGAACAGAGTCATATTTCTCTTCTTGCAGAAAGCAAATAGGAGAAATATCACTGAATTATTTTCCCAGCAAGGAATAACCCTGGGAAAGGAATGCATTCCCAGGGGGAGGTCTCTAAAATGGCCGCTCTGGGAGTGTCTGCCTTATGCAGTTGAAGATAAGGGATGAAATACACCGTGGTCTCCTGCAGCGCCCTCAGGCTTGCTAGGATTAGGAAATTCCAGCCTGGCGAATTCTAGTCAGACCTGTTGTCTGCTCTCGAACCCTATTTCCTGTTAAGATGTTTACCAATGACAATGCATGCCCAGCAGGACATGGAACCTCATCAGTAATTCTAATTTCGCCCTGGCCTTGTGATCTTGCTTTGCCTCTCTGCCCTTGTGATCTTTTATTGCCCTTTCAAGCATGTGATCTTTGTGAATTACTCCCTGTTCGTACCCCCTTCCCCTTTTGAAACCCCTAATAAAAACTTGCTGGTTTTGTAGCTCAGGGGGCATCACAGAACCTGCCAATATGTGATGTCACTGCCAGAGGCCCAGCTGTAAAATTTGTCTCTTTGTACTCTTTCTCTTTATTTCTCAGACCGGCCAACACTTAGGGAAAACAGAAAAGAACTTACATTGAAATATTGGGGCTGGTTTCCCCGATACACTTCAAAGATATTTTACACCAAATGAATATTAATTATGTTCAAGTTGCCTAAGGACGTCCACAAGTTTTAAAAAATTCCTTGTTAAGGCCGGGTGCGGTGGTTCACGCCTGTAATCCCAGCACTTTGGGAGGCTGAGATGGGTGGATCATCTGAGGTCAGAAGTTCGAGACCAACCTGACCAACACTGAGAAACCCTGTCTCTACTAAAAATACAAAATTAGCCTGGTGTTGTGGCACATGCCTGTAATCCTAGCTACACAGGAGGCTGAGGCAGGAGAATTGCTTGAACCCGGGAGGTGGAGGTTGCAGTGAGCCGAGATCGTGCCATTGCACTCCAGCCTGGGCAATAAGAGCACAAACTCTGTCTCATAAAAAAAAAAAAAATCCTTGTTAAATCCAATTGTGTAATGAATTATCTCTTTAAAAATTTCCTGTCTCTGAGAACTAACCTTCCTTTCACAATGTACAAATTTGGTTGATAGTATAACAAAATTATTTGATAATATATTCACAGAAACATTTAATGTTAAGAGGTGGAAGGAACGTTAGGTTGAGTCTAACATCCTGTTTACAAATAAGAAAACCAAGACTTAGAAAGATCAAGGAATTGTCCAAGGTTAGTCACAATAGGTATCTGAGCCCATTTTCAGTTTCATGAACCAATAAATCCCCATTTTGGTAGGCTGGTCTGAGGTGAGGTGTCTGTTGCTTACAACCGAGAATGTCCCAACAGTCAGAATTTGTGTGGGCAAGTTTCTTACTTGAGCTATTTACTTGTCTTTATTTTTACTTTTAGGGGGATGGAGCCTCACTCTGCTGCTCAGGCTAGAGTGCAGTGGCACAATCTCGGCTCACTGCAACCTCAACCTCCTGTATTCAAGCAATTCTCCTGTCTCAGCCTCCTGAGTAGCTGGGATTACAGGGGTGTGTCACCACGCCTTGCTAATTTTTGTAGTTTTAGTAGAGACGGGATTTTGCCATGTTGGCCAGACTGGTCTTGAACTCCTGACCTCAAGTGATCCACCTGCCTTGGCCTCCCAAAGTGCTGGGATTACAGGCATGAGCCGCTGCATCTGGCCCATTTACTAGTCTTTAAATGGAGGTAGATTAACCTATCACTAAAGTTCTGTCTAGTTCTCACATTCTATCATCCTAAATAATCATATGCAAAGACCTCCAAAACCATACTTTTAATAGCATGAAACACAGTTGAAAACTTAATGACTATTTAAGGACCTTGAAGAAAGTAGTGAATATAAAATTTAATAAAAGTGTTTCCCTAATACTGTAAAGAAACCCATAATTATCACACACAGAGCAATCTGTTGAACATTACTCTATGAAAAGAAATTTGAGTCATGGGTTCTTTCAAATTAATGTGTACCAGATTTCCTTAGTTTGAATTTTAGTTATAAGGTAATTACCCAGTGTTGGCAAGGGTACAAGCTCATATGCTACCACTGGGAATGTAAACTGGTATAATCTTTCTATGGGTTTATTTGGAAATACATATTAAAAAGCTCCAGATTCCTATACCCTTTGATATGTTGGTTCTATTTTACCCTAAAAGAAATTATGTGTGCATCCAAAAATTTAGCTTTAAAAAAATACTTAAAATAGGCCAGACGTGGTTGCTCATGCCTGTAATCCCAGCACTTTAGGAGGCCGAGGTGGGCGGATCACGAGGTCAGGAGATTGAGACCAGCCTGGCCAACATGGTGAAACCCCGTCTCTACTAAAAATACAAAAAACATTTGCCGGGCATGGTGGCTGGTGCCTGTAATCCCAGCTACTCAGGAGGCTGAGGCAGGAGAATGGTGTGAACCTGGGAGGCGGAGCTTGCAGTGAGCTGAGGTCGTGCCACTGCAATCTAGCCTGGGTGACAGAGCGAGACTCCATTCCAAAAAAAAAAAAAACTTAAAACATTGAAGTTGTATTTATAATAAGAAAACTAATTTATTGTACAACAACAGAGGGCTAATTAAACAAATAATCAAATAATTATTCATTAACACAAAGTGATTTAATTTAACCATTAAAATCACTTTGTAGGACATCATTTAATGATGTGAGACAAATGTTCATTATCTATCGTTAGGTGAAAAGGGCAGGGATTAAATGGTACATTTCAGGCGGTTATAATTTTGTCTAAAAATTAAATGGCTATTTGGACACACACACACAAAACTAGAAACTTTAGGCCAAAATGTTAATAGCTGGATCATGGATTGGGGTGATGTTTTTTTCTTCCTCTGGCTTTTCTGACACTTTTCTTATTTTTTTGTTTTGTTTTGTTTTTGTTTTTGAGATGCAGACTTGCTCTGTGGCCCAGGCTGGAGTGCAGTGGCGCAATCTCGGCTCACTGCAAGCTCCGCCTCCTGGGTTAACGCCATTCTCCTGCCTTAGCCTCCCGAGTAGCTGGGACTACAGGCACCCACCACCATGCCTGGCTAATTTTTTTTTGTATTTTTAGTGGAGACGAGGTTTCACCATGTTAGCCAGGATGGTCTCGATCTTCTGACCTCGCGATTCTCCCATCCTGGCCTCCCAAAATGCTGGATTACAGGCATGAGCCACCGTGCCTGGCCCAATTTTTTTTTTTTTAAATAATCAACACACTTGAACTTCATAATCAGAGCTATTTTTAAATTCTTAAAAACTTCTCTGTAATGATGCAAAAGAAAATGAAATTATTTTAACTTTGCTTCAGTGAACAGATAGCAGGTCTGTGGTCCTGCCCATAGAAAATAATATGCTTTCATTCCCTAACTCAACAACAGTTCCTTCTCTTCTCATGCAACAGCCTGCCCATATCAAACCAATTATCAAAATCCACTGAACGCAAGCCATCAAGAATGGCAGGAGTAAGCCCAACTCCCAAGAGCAAAGTTATTCAGCCTGTTAGACGCTTGATACCACAAGGGTTCCCTCAGGGTGGGAAGAGGCTGATTCACTCACCTGCACCACGGCCAGGGCAAAAACTGTATGTTAAACTTAGCAATTGAAAATACGCTGAAGAGGACACATGTATGTTTGTGGGATGGAATCGCTGTGGGACAGTGTACTGTCACAACCTTGTGTGACAATAATCTTTCTTCCACTGGCACAGCCCCAGATTCCTATCAGCTTTCTCCTCTCGCCCAGACACGGGCTGATCATATTCTAATATTTGAGAGGGAAAAAGAGAACAGCAAGAATTCCTTTCAGAACTTCTGAGGCATGTAGAAGTATTATCACCGGAGTCACATAGAGACTCAAGTCTGAATTTCATCACCTCTGCTGCTCGGGGTTAACCCATCTGTTAGGTGCAAGAGGCACAGTGGCTAGGACCTGCCATACTTTTAGGCACCCATGAAAATAATTTATTTTAAAATCAGAAGAAAATATATGAACATTTAGGTTAAGGAAAATACAATTTACTATATAATATTAATACATTCATCTTTACACCAACAATAATAAAATATAACTTTTATTTATTTTTTATGGAGGAAGGGGGCCCATGAAGGCAAAAGTACCTAGGCCCATAAAAGGTATCCTCTACATTTTGCTCTACACCCATCTTCAGGTTAAAACTGACATGATACCATACCACCATCCACTTTGCATTTGCAATGTGAACCTGGTCTCTGTGACTTGTTTACAATCACATTTCCATAAAGCAACTTAAATTTTACTATTTAGTGCAACTAAATTTTAAAGTCAAAGTTTTAGTTATATTTATTTTTTTTAGTGACTGGCCACATTTAACAACATGGTTTCTCAAATTTGCCTAATCATAAAAATCACCTAAGGCACTTGTTAAAAATACAGACTCCCAGGACATCACCTAGAGATTCTGATTCAGTGGGATAGGAGTCACGTCCCAGAAAATGTTTTCAACAAGGGGTCCCTGTAATTCTCACTAGTCAAGTTCAGAACTACTATTCTAGTTGAATCAAAATGAATACTGTAAGTAGCTGGACTACATTTCTTTGTTTTCTTGAGATGGGGCCTCACTGTTGCCCAGGCTGGAGTGTAGTGGTGTCATCACAGCTCACTGCAGCCTCAACTTCCCAGGCTCAAGTGATCCTCCCACCTCAGTATCCTGAGTAGCTAGGACTATAAGTGTGCACTCTACCACTTCTGGCTAATTTTTACATTTTTTGGTAGAGATGGGGTTTAGCCATGTTGCCCAGGCTGGCCTTGAACTCCTGGGCTCAAGAGATTCTCCTCCTCAGCCTCCCAAAGTGCTGGAATTACAGGCATGAGCCACCACGGCCAGCTTGGACTATGTTTTAAAAGTGAGAAACTGGAGTTTGTAGGAGTGGCTCTTGCTTGAAACTGAGCACAGAACTCTGAGGCAGACAGCTGAGGGCAATGCACAGCCACCAACTGGCAGGTGTTGCCATTCCCAGACACATCTAATTGCTTGTTAATGAAATTATTTATTGGCAATTTATAACATGAGTGTAATAGGTGATTTTCAAATTTTAAATGCAGCTTTTGAAGTACTAGGTATTATCCAGCCATGACTAAACCCCATGGCTGTGGTTTAGAAACATTCCACATATAATTAAATTCCCTAGATGGGCTCCTCTCTCCCCCTGACTGCCATCTTAAAAGTAAGCATACATTCCTCCATAAAGAGGTTAGCTCTAGCAACAGTACTCATGTATTTAGGTCACGCAGACAGACATTCTTTGATTTGCAACCCACGCGGCTGACCTTGACACAGACAACCATGTGAAATTAGAACAACAAATAGAAACACCAACATGAAAGCTCTGTTGCTTTTATTTTATTTTGTAGGTTAAGATAAAAAAAAAGAAAAAAAAAAAGCTCTTGCAGGGGCAAAGGAAGCCATGTCATTCTGGTAGCACCATGAAGTGTATTCTTAGCTTGGATCTGGGCCAGGAGGAAGCAGGAATAAGATGAAGCTAGAGATGAGGAGACCCAAAAATGTCAAATCCATGAGGTTAATAAAATTTTTTTTCCTTCAGTCTTTTCGTTAAGTCCCTGAGTAGCTCAGTGAGAGTGGTTTCTTTCCCAAGGTCCTGAAACCTCTCCATGTCACCCTTACAAGAAAATCAGAGAGAAAGATGAGCGTCACTCTAGGGACCAGTGAGCTCACCTTCTCCCCTTCATGCCTACAGTCAAGCTGTGTATTTCTGCTTCAGGGGTTAAGGAGAGGAAATGGTAGGCAGATGAAATTTGTTTCCCATTCCACAGTTAAGTTCTCACGCTGTGCAGAGGAGGTGGGAGGAAAATACACTTACAGACAGCTATGGTCATCACTCCTATTTCTCACCAAGAAGCTGTCAGTTCTGCCCAATCTAGAGGCAATAGAAGATGAGTATAAGTATCAACTTTCTGTGTGGTCCTCAGCATTTTTTTTTTTTTTTTTTTGAGACGGAGTCTTGCTCTGTCGCCCAGGCTGGAGTGCAGCTGCGTGATCTCGGCTCACTGCAAGCTCCGCCTCCCAGGTTAATGCCATTCTCTTGCTTCAGCCTCCCAAGTAGCTGGGACTACAGGCACCCACTACCATGCCTGGCTAATATTTTGTATTTTTAGTAAAGACGGGGTTTCACCGTGTTAGCCAGGATGGTCTCGATCTCCTGACCTCGTGATCCACCCGCCTCAGCCTCCCAAAGTGGCGGGATTACAGGCGTGAGGTCCTCAGCTTTAATTATGCCACTTTCTTCATCAGAAGTAGTCCCTGGACAAAAAAGAAGAGTCCACAGTTTTGACCATGCAGGTGTGCCAAGGGACATGACCACCACGCATCTGTGTGGCTGTCTCCAATGTGATCATTTCAGCAACCAGAGCTGAGCACAGCATCCACCCAGGAATGGCTCCTTCAACCTTCTAATGCCCGGCACTAAGGCTCAAGATGGTAATCTTATTACCTGCTTAAACAAATCCCCATTTAAACCACCAAGAGGTTTAGCTTTCTGTCTTGACAAGTCACCAGAGCGTGCTTGCATACTCTAAGGATACTGTTATCAATTTAATACCAGAGCATGGTTAATTAAAGAGGCTTCAGGGAGAACAGCATTGCTGGGTGACATAACCAGGCGGAACAACAGGTCTACCAGAAATGGGCCTTGTTCATTTATTTCTTAACTATGAAAGTCTGGCAAATCTTTGAAGTTGAGCTGGGGGGCAGAGGACTGAGGAAAGGTATGCCAACTGCTCACATGGCAACACAAGCTGAAATAAACACTTGCTTTAAATAATCTGAGACCAACTACAGTCACTCCTTCATATCTGTGGTTCCAATCACGGATTGAACCAACTGCAGACTGAAAATATTTGAAAAAAAAAAAAAAATTCCACGAAGTTCCAAAAAGCAAAACTTAAATTTGCCACGTGCTGGTGCTATAAAGAATCCATGTGAATAAAGTGATGTGTAGGTATTGTATTAGGTATTAAATCATCTAGAGATGATTTAAAGTATATGGGATGATATGCGTAGATTACATGCAAATACTACGCCATTTTATACAGGGACTTGGGCAACTGAGGATTTTGGTACCCATGGGGGTCCTGGAACCAATACAATGGATACTGAAGGAAAATCGTACAGGCTTATTCATTCACTGATTGAACAGGTATTTATTTTGTTCCTAGACGGTGTGAGGCACTCTGCTAAACAGTCAGGATGCGGCAATGAGCCAGCCCCCTTGGCACTTAAATTCTAGTACACAAAAACTGGTCAGTAATTAAGAGCAGTCTGGGAAGGAGTGAAAACTCTGCTGTGAGTGAAATCCACATTGTCCTAAAATCAGACATGACTTAATTAAAACAATCCTTTAATATTTACTAATGGTAGCTCTATGTAGGGCACCCTCCTAAGCATAGTAACTATCACAAAGTCAAGTCTGACATTCCCTAGCCATCAAAGAAACTTATAATTTCACTAGATATGAGACTAAAACTTATACAAGTTTTAAAATAATAAGATATTAGTGTTGGAGGATATAAGAGCTCTGGCCCATAACAGGCAAATGAAAAGATGCTCAACATCATTGGCTATTAGGGAAATGCACATCAAAACCACAATGAGATACGACTTAAAACCCACTAAGATGGTTACAAGTTTTAAAAAATTGAAAACAAGTATTATGAGGAAGTGGAGAAATAGGAAACCTCACACCACTAGTGGAAATGCTAAATAGTACAGTCACTTTGGAAAACTGGCAGTTCTGCAAGAGGTTAAACAAAGAGTTACTATATGATCTAGCAATTCTAGTACTAGGTGTATATACCCAAGAGAAGTGAAAACTCATGTCCACACAAAAACCTTACATGAATGTTTATAGCTGCATTATTCACAATAGCCAAAAAGTAGAAACGACCCAAATGTTAATCAACTGATGAACATGGATAAATAATGTGATAAATCCACCCAATAAAATATTATCTGGCCACAAAAAAGGACAAAATACTAATACATACTACAACATGGATGAATCCTGAAAACACTATGCTAAGTAAAGCCGCCAATCAGAAAAGATCACGTATGATATGATTTCACTCATTTGAAATGTCCAGAATAAGCAAAACTCTAGAGACAGAAAATAGATTAGTTGCCTAGGGTTGGGGATTGTGGGGGAAAAAGAGGAGTGACTGCTAATAATTTTCTGGGAGGGGATAAAATATTATAAAGTTAATTGTGATAGTTGTACAACTCTATGAATACACTAAAAACCATAGAATTGCATACTCTAAATGGATGAAATACATGGTGAATGTGAATTATATCTTAATTTTCTCATTTCAAGATACATTTTTAAAACATAAATGCCAATTATACCAGTTCTTAAAGATAATCTTTCTAAAATGCACAACCCACTTCTCCATACTCTTAAACAAAACAGACTGAATGAAATTTGAGGTCTTCTTGATGATTCACAGTCAAATGACAATCAATTATTGTGCTCACTGTACATTGATGTCCTCAGGAATCATGTAAACATGCGCTTCCCAGGCTGCTATGGTTTGAATCTTCTTTTGTCTCTATTATAGTTTTCTATGTCTTGCTTTTGGGCTAAAGCTGTTAATTTCTCACTGCTGTCAGTGTTACTGCAATATATCTATCCAGAACCTGCTGTGTCCGAATGCAGAGAAACCAGGAAAGCAAGTCTGTTAAAACTGCATGTATAGTTATTATTTGTCAATTTAAAAAATAAAATTAAAAAAGAAGAGTACATAGATTCTGAGGGAGATCACAGGAAGTACTCTCAAGTGTAAGATGCATGAGCACCTCTGACTTTATCTACTTCCCAACACTGATTTTGATTGCTCAGAAGTGTTTGCTTCCTTCCAGTGCTCAGCTGCCTTCGGGGTTATCACTGGCATCCCCTGAGGTTATAGGCATTGTAGTTAGAAGTGACAGGCATTGTAGTTACAAGTGAATTTTTTTTTACTATAATAATTTTTATCAAAGGCACAGCTAGATGTAATATCTGACTGAGAAAAGGGATTAAAACTTTATAAAATATAAATATGAACATTCAAAATATTTTATTCGCCTGGGATCATTTAGTTTTGGGGCATAGTGTTCTTCCACACCATGAAGAGTGAGATTTTTTCAAATTCTTTAGCATTGGAACTTTTAAAAGTTCCATCTTAATTCTGAATCCCAGATATGAAAGAGATAAAAGTGACGTCTTATTTGCACTGTCTCATTTTACAAATCACATCACATCTAATGTAAAGTTAATTAATGAGAACAGTGATGCTTGTTCAACATAAAGGCTGGAAACTGTCCCTTACGGATGATAGCTGCAGCTTCACGAACTTCACCCATTTATTTCTGTACTTTATTTGGATTACACAATTTGAAGAAAAGTTTGATTCAGAGACAGCAGCTGCAAATCATAACTGTTCTTTTGAACAGCTTCCCTTGCAAACTCAGGGATTTCCTGAATCAAAACTGATTCAGTAGTTTGAAAAGATTTACTGAAAATGTTTCAGCTTCTTGCTGAATACTAAAAATACCTAACAACTCACTTTGCTTGCAACACATATAAAAATCAAACAAAAAACATCCAAACCTTTTGATTAGTGCTAAAACTCTAAGACAGCATTACCAGGACTTGACAGGTTACCCATTTACTTGTTATGTAACTGACCTAAGCCAGGGTGAGGGTGAGAGGGTTTGCCAAGAAAATATGTCTAAGCCTTGACTAAAATTTAATTGAGTGTGGTACACGTGTGCTGAAGTGGTATATATTATCTTATGCAATCTGATGTGGACAGATATATACCGGCCAAACGTTAAGACTTTAGAGCTACAAACTTGCCAATAAATAGTTTATTTATAAGAATTCAGAAGAAGTTTATTCCAACGACTGTGAAAAATGAGTTAATCCAGCAGCAGCAGCAACATTATATCAATTAACATTTAGGACATACTATGTGTCAGGCGCTGTGCTAGCAGCTTTCCATGCATTATTTAATTCAGTTCTCATAACCCAATGAAGTTGGCACTATTATTATTCCCATTTTACAGATTACAAAATTGAGGCTCAGAGAACTCCCTCAAACATTAGGTGATCTCTAATGTGCAGTTTTTTTGTTTTTTTTTTTGAGACGGAGTCTCGCTCTGTCACCCAGGCTGGAGTGCAGCGGCGCGATCTTGGTGTACTGCAAGCTCTGCCTCCCGGGTTCACACCTTTCTCCTGCCTCAGCCTCCCGAGTAGCTGAGACTACAGGCACCCGTCACCTCGCCCGGCTAATTTTTTGTATTTTTAGTAGAGACTGAGTTTCACTGTGTTAGCCAGGATGGTCTCGATCTCCTGACCTCGTGATCCGCCCGCCTCGGCCTTCCGAAGTGCTGGAATTACAGGCCTGAGCCACTGCGCCCGGCCTCTAATGTGCTTTGTAAATTATAGCTTTTAAATAGTTAAAAAAAAATTAAGATTTTTGAATTAAACATTTGGACCCTCTAAAAGTTACACCCAAGCTGGATAGGCTGGCGCATCCCTGTAGTCTCAACTACTCAGGAAGCTGAGGCAGGAGGTTTGCTTGAGCCCAAGAGTTGGAGATTAGCCTGGGGAACACAGCAAAACTGCATCTCTAAACAAACATTTTTTTTTACATGCTGTATATAGCTGTTACACAACACATATCCATGAATGAACAAACCCAAATGCCTGTACACCATTACCTAAGACTTTCCTGTATTACAACCCAGTATAAAAGTTGATATTAATGATGTCCCTAAATTATTAGAATATGTTAAATGAGACTCCCTTGTCAAAGAAGGCAACGATGTATAAAATGAATCTGAAGCACATTTTCATAAAGCTGACAAAAGTAAACCAGTTCTGGCAGTTTACACAGACAGAAATTCACTGATGTTTAACTAGTTTGATCCCAGGAATGTTAATAAATTGAGTGATACGGATTCAGGATCTTTTTCTTTCCTCTTGTGGCTAAATTAAAATACAGAGTCCTAGGTCTAAAGATTGCCTGAAATTACAAATTTTAGCAACACCCCTTCTTTAAACCCTTGGTTCAATCCTGAATCCAGCAACTCCAGATTTCTAGGCCTGAGGCCAGTCCTATACCCTAATTGTCTTCAGGAGAGCTAGCTTGCCTGCTCCCACTGGCACCATCCAAATGACTTCAGAGGAAAGGAGAGGGGTGGAATTCTTTTAATACTGTTCTTTAGTTCTTAATCTATATTTCCAGACAAAAATTATGTAGGAGATACTAATCACTCTTAGTCCAGTGATACTGGGTGATTCCAAAGCAGCTTTTTGGCACAGGACTATTTCAAGAATGAGGTTTCAAATCTCAGACCATGAAGAAATGGTAAAAAATTAATCATAAACAAACAATAACAGGTATGGGCAAATGAAAGGATTCTCCAGGGGCAACACAAATCAGGTTTTCAATTATCCACCTACAAATGAGATGTAACAATTTTAATTGTGGTTAGATAACTGAATTTATCTAATTGTGCATCATAAAACACAATAGTCTCAACTGGATATAATACACTGCTAACTTTTACAGCAAATAACAGATTGTGTGTGTGTGTGTGTGTGTTTTTTTTTTTAAAAAGGGTTCTTTTCTTTTGGAAATAAAGACAAAAACATTTAATACTAAACATATGATTTCTGAGGTCTGCTTCAATATTATAAAATTGGACATGATTTGATAATTATAGAAGCTGAGTGATAAGTACTTGGCAGTTCATTATGCTATATTCTCTAGTTTTGTATAATGTTTAAAATGCAGAAAAAGTTGTTAAAATCCCAACACTTTCCAAAACGCTCACTCAGGACAATAAGAGGACAAGTGGAACACAGTGACTTTTGGAATAAAAACCATGAGTCTGAATTTGGGAAGTCCCTTTTTTGCCACACAGATCCTGCTTATGGAACCAAATATATCAAACTGTTTTCCCTTTAGCTAGGACAAACTTCAGTCTACTTATCCTAACCATAAACATATAATGAAAATATTCTGGCAACTCCACCCTGACATTTCAGCAGCAATAAATAAATTATAAATCACCCTAGAAAGGTACAAGCCTCAACTAAGGCCAGGTTTATATCTATTTAAGAAAAAAAAAATTTGGTGTTCCTCAATCCACAATGAACAAATAACTCAAAATAACTGAAGTCATTAAAAAACAAAAACAATAATGAATTATGAAATAAGTGTAAGTCCAAATTTATAATTTTCCCATGATTAATACTTAAGTGCATGCATGTCTACATATCCATACACATAAAAGCACATGTATTATTTTCTTCTGCTAGCATTGATGGAATTGTTAACACCTGCTTGGTCTACCTGCTGGGTAATCCAGCACTAAGCCCAACTACATTTACAGTAGGAATTTAGGAGGCAGGAAGGGAGGAAAATAACGATGTGATTCCAAAGAAATTCTACCCTCATACCAACCACAGTGACCCCTGAAGTATTTGTAGAATACTTTCTTTCCTGAGAATAAGCCTCCCTCATCAAACTTCTCATCTTCAGACATTGTCCTACTTAGCAAAGGACATGTTGACCTTTACTCCCCTTCTCTACCTCAAATGCATCAATAATTCAATTAGTATTACTGATACCTGCTGGGACTTTTCTCTGAGCTTCTTCTGTGAACTGTGTCCCAGTCACTGTGTACTGGTAAATGTTTAACAACTGGTTCTCTGAAAATAAAGCCCTGATTTTCAGTGTTTGCCAGTTTCCACGGTGTATATATATATATATCCATGATGGCCAGTTTCAAGTTATCAGCATAAGGATACTGAAATGCAGAGTTGGGAAGTCATGTGTATAAACAACACCCATAGCCTGTATAAGTTGGCTTTAGCACAACGCTGAGATGCCTGGTTTGCTAGGATAATCCCAGCCTATATCTGTGGTCCTAGCATAATTAATGGTACCCCTACCACTCTTTAAAAGTGTTAATGAAATATTACATGATCACCCCAAAGAATAAATCACTTTGGGACCCTTTCTCAAAGTAAAAACCTTCCACAAAAAAGGATAAGACCTTCCATAAAAGGTAAGAAGATCTGATTATCTCCTTAGTCAAATGTACACTAACTTCCTAGTATGGAACACCCTAAAAACATTAACAGCCCTTTAATTTTTTTTTTTAAATCAAACATAGGTAGTTGGGAGAGTATGAATAGTAAACAGGTTCCACTAATGTTCAAGTACTGACTCACACACAGGGTTTAGTGATTTCTGGAGCTATTACAGCATCTGAGTGAAGAAATCAAGCCACACAGCTGGCTTCAGGTTACACTCTAGCTTAAAGTCACATGAAACCAAATATCACATGCAGAGTCTAGCACAGTGCCTAGCCCAAATAAATTAAAAACTGGTTAGTCCCTGTAGGTTTAATGGGAATCATTAAATCTCAGAGTTCAAGGCAACCCAGGTCAATACTTACTTGATCTCCTTTATGACTACCCCAAGAAGTCATCCTCCAATCTTGCTTAAATACTTGTCAGCAACCCAATACAACCTGCACTGGGTCACATGGGTAGAATCTGGCAGGCAAGAATATTGGTCTTGGTTCTTCAAAGAGGAGAACCCAAAAAAAGAGTCAAGATAAGATAGCTATCTTTAAATACCTCGTGAGCTGTTATGTAGAAGATGAATTAGATATACTGAATTGTCAAGGACCATGGGGTAGAAGTTATAGGGAGACAGATTTTGAGTTAGTATAAGGAAGAACATCTAACACCACCACAGTAATAATAGCTAACATTTATTGAGTGCTTACATTTTGCTGGAAGCCTCACCATACTGCTAACTCATGTTAAGCTTGAAGTCAACGAATCTATTGCTCTCTCTGGTCGCCCCTGACCATCTACCTTGGGCTATAAAAGAGTTGTTTGTCCAGAAGCCCCAGAGGGATCCAAGTAACTGGCTGCCCAGGCTAGCTACAATTCAGAAGTTCATACAGGTCCAGTCTGTCCTGAGCCTCTATCTAAAGTCCTTGCACCCTCAGATTCAGTGTAGGATCAAGGCCAAGAGTACTAGAATGTACATGTGCTGGTGCTGAAGGCAAGCACCTGGAAATATTCATCTCATTCATCATCTGCCAAAGGAAGATTCCAGAGTCTTGCACATATTTGCAAGGTCATTTTTTCAATTCTTGGAGAATGGGTTAAAAAAATGACCCAAGAACTTGATGTAGTTCTTCTGAATTCTGAAGTCTTGTTCAATTCATGTGGCTTTTATGAAGGAAAAGTACTCACTTTTCTCATCCTTCTCATCTCCTTTGCATATAACTGCCTCACTCAAGGGCTGAGATATCAAACAGTTAAGATCAAAAGAGGACACTTCTTTTTTAAAAAATAACCATGTCCTGACACAAGATTAGCAATCAAATAAATTCCACAGTCCTCTTATTCACTAATTTGCCAGCATCACTCTCAGACAGGGTATGCTAAACTTGGTGAGGCAATCTATGATAATCAGGTCAAGACTTATGACACAAGCCATGTGTCCTGCTTCTAGAAACATCAGAGGGTATTAGGGAAGCTTCCATTGAGGAGGTGATATCCGATCAGGTTGGGGAATACTCTGAAATCCAATCTCCGAAAGATTCCCAGTCAGGGCAAGATGAGTTTGTGGAAATCCTGGTATTTCAGAGTCTTGGAAGCCTCTGTAATTAAATAACAGCAATGATATTAATATTAAATGTCTACATGGTTGATCATTTAGCAAATATATATATATATATAGAGAGAGAGAGAGATAAAATGTCCTCTATTAATATAAATAAGACTGGTATTAATAGTGTCTTAGTCCATTTTGTGCTGCTATAACAGAACACTTCAGACTGGGTAATTTGTAATGAACAGAAATTTATCGGGCTCACAATTCTAGAGGCTAGTAAGGCCAAGATTGGGGGGCTGCATATGGCAAGGACCTTCCTGCTGCATCATCCCATGATAGAAGCATAAAAGGGCAAAAGAGCATGTGTGCACAAGAGAGCAAAAGAGTGAACTCACAGCCTCAAACCCTTTTATAATGGCATTAATCATTCATGGGGATGGTGCCCTCATGACCTAAATGCCTCCCATTAGGCCTCATCTCCCAACACTGTTACACTGGGGATTTTCAACACGTGCTTTCTGGGGGACACATTTAAACCACAGCATTCCACCCTGGCTCCCCAAATTCATGTTCTTCTCACATAAAAGACACATTCATGTCATGCAATAGCCCCAAAAGTCATAACTTTCCAGCATCAGCTCAGAAGTTCAATGTACACAGTCTCATCTGAATCAGATATGGATGAGATTCAAGGCAGGATTCATCTTGAGGGACACTTCCCTCTAGCTGTAAGCCTGTGAAATCAAACAAGTTACTTACTTCCAAAATACAATGGTGGAATAGGCAAAGGATAGACATTCCCATTCCAAAAGACACAAATAGGCAAGAAGAAAGGGATAGTCTTAAGTCAATCCAAAACCCAACAGGGCAAACAACACTAAATCTTAAGGCTCCAGAGTAATCTTCCTTGACTCCACATCCTACCATCTGGGAACACTGGAGCAGCAGTTGGGCCCCCAAGGCCTCAGGTAGGCAGGCCTACCCCTACAGCTTTGTTTGGTGCTACCCATGCAGCAGCTCTCACAGGTTGGTGTCAGGTGCCTGTGGCTCTCCTGGCTAGTATTTCATGCTGGTAGGTCTAGAGTTCTGGGGTGTTGGTGTGAGCCCACTCCTTAGGCTTTACTAGGCATTGCTCTAGGAGACTCTCTGCGGTAGCTCCTACCCTAAAGTTATGCCACACACTGCCCTAGTAAGGGCCCTCTGGGTTGCTCCACCCTTGCAACACGTGTCTGCCTGGGCCATCAGGCTGTCTATGACATTCTTTGGAATCTAGCTGGAGAAAGCCATGCATCCACAGTTATTATTATTATTATTATTATTATTTTTAATTTTTATTTTTTTTGAGATGGAGTTGGAGTGCAGGTTGGCTTGCAGTGGCGCGATCTCAGCTCACTGCAGGCTCGGCCCCCCGGGGTGCACGCCATTCTCCTGCCTCATATTATTATTTTTTGAGATGGAGTCTTACTCTGTCACCCAGGCTGGAGTGCAGTGGTGCGATCTTGGCTCACTGCAACCTCCACCTCGTGGGTTCAAGCGATTCTGCTGCCTCAGCCTCCCGAGTAGCTGGGACTACAGGCGCATGCCACCATGCCTGGCTAATTTTTTGTATTTTTAGTAGAGACGGTGTTTCACAGTGTTAGCCAGGATGGTCTCGATCTCCTGACCTCGTGATCCGCCTGCCTTGGCCTCCCAAAGTGCTGGGATTACAGGCATGAGCCACCGCACCCAGCCTGCCTCCACAAGTCGTGTACTCTGCATGTCTGTAGACTTAACACCACATGGATGCCACCAAGATTTGCTGCTTGCACATTCCAAAGCTGTGGCCTGAGCCACACCAGAGCACCCCTCTTTTTTTTTTTTGAGACAGAGTCTCTCCCTGTCGCCCAGGCTACAGTGCAGTGGCGCGATCTCGACTCACTGCAAGCTCCGCCTCCCGGGTTCATGCCATTCTCCTGCCTCAGCCTCCCGAGTACCTGGGACTACAGGCGCCCGCCACCACGCCTGGCTATTTTGTATTTTTAGTAGAGACGGGGTTCCACCGTGTTAGCCAGGATGGTCTCGATCTCCTGACCTTCTGATCCACCAGCCTCGGCCTCCCAAAGTGCTGGGATTACAGGCGTCAGCCACCGCACCCGGCCCACCTGAGCACCGTTGAGCCACAGGTGGGGTGAGCAAGAAGCACTGTAATGAAATGTGGCAAGCAGAGACTTCAGGCAGCCCTGAGAAGTGAACTCCAAGATCCAGAGGGCACACTAGTTCTCTCTTTTGATATACAGTCATACGTCACTTAATGACGGGTATTTTCAGAGAAAAGAAGTGTCATTAGGCAATTCTGTCATTGTGCAAACAGCATAGAGTGTACTTACACAACCCTAGACGCTATAGCCTACTACAGACCTAGGCTATATGGTAAACCCTATTGTTCCTAAGCTGTAAACCTGTACAGCATGTTACTGTGCTTAGTACTATAGGCAATTGTAACAATGGTTAGTATTTGTGTATCTAAACATACCTAAACATAGAAAAGGTACAGTAAAAGTACAGTCTAAAAGACAAAACGTGGCATACCTGTATAGGGCACATACAAGAGCTTCCAGGACTGACAGTTGCTCTGGGTGAGTGAGTGGTGAGTAAATGTGAAGGCCTAGGACATCACTGTACACACTGTAGACTTTACAAACATTGTTCACTTAGGCTACTCTAAATTTATAAAAAGAAATTTATTTCTTCAGTAATCAATTATACTTAGCTTACTATAACAGTTTTACTTTATAAACTTTCTAATTTTAAAAATTTTTTGACTCTTGTAATAACACTTGGCTTAAAACACAAACATATTGTATAGGTGTACAAAAATATTTTCTTTATATTCTCATTCTACAAGCTTTTTTCTATTTTTAAAATTTTTTAGTTTTTTTTTTTACTTTTTAAACTTATTTGTTAAAAACAAAGATGCAAACACACACATTAACCTAGGTCTACACAAAGTCAGGGTCATCAATATCACGGTCTTCCACACCCACATCTTGTCCCACTAGAAGGTATTATGTATTATACATAATTGTGTGTGCTATATTTTTATATGACTAGCAGCCAGTAGGTTTATACCATCATCATCAAAAACAGATGAGCAACACATTGAGTTATGATGTTCAATGGTTATGATACCACTGGGCAATAAGAATTTTTCAGTTCCATTATAATCTTATAGGACTACCTTTGTATATGTGCTCCTTCCTTGGTGAAAAGGTCTATATGTGGGGCATGACTGTATTTCCTTCTCCGAGGTCATGGCACCCTGTGCCTGTGATGGGAGGGACAGCACCAGTAATTTCCAAAATGCCTTCAGAGTCATTCTTCCATTGTCCTAATGAACAGCCTCTGGCTTCCTTCTATCCCTACTGATCTCCTTATCAACTGGTTGCTTGCCCACACCCTTGGTCTTCTCTCCTGAAAATGTTCTTTCATTCTCTACCACATGGCCAGGATGAGAATCCTTCAAATCCCTAAATTCTGTTTCCTTTTTAATTATAAATTTTATCTTTAAGTCATTTCTCTCTTATTTTCCTGTATGCAGTTAATATTTTGCTTAGAAATTTCTTCCATCAAATATCGTAGTTTATTGCTCTTACATTCTGCCTTCCATAAAGCCTAGGGTGTAGACACAATTCAACCAAATTCCTTGCCACTTCATAACAAGGCTGGTCCTTACTCCACTTTCCAATACCTTATTCCTCTTTTCCATCTGAGATCTCATCAGAATTGCCTTTATTGCTCTTATTTCTACCAACATTCTCATCACCATCACATAAGTAATCTCTAAGGAGATTTAGACTTTTACTACAGCTCTCCTCCTCTTCTCAGCCTTCACCAGAACCACATTTAATGCTCTGTTCATAGCAACATAGGCTTTTCATAGCAACATAGGCTTTTCATAGCCTGCTTCCCCACATTCTTCCAGCCTCTACCTGTTACCCAGTTCCAAAACCGCTTTCACATTTTCAGGTATTTGTTATAGCAACAGCCCCATTTCTCAGTACCAGTTTTCTGTCTTTGTCCAGTTTGTGTTGCTATAATAGAATACCTGTGACTGGGTAATTAATAATGAACAGAAATTTATTTGGCTTACAGTTCTGGAGGCTGAGAAGTCCAAGATCGAGGGACTGCATCTGGTGAAGGCCTTCTTGCTGCATCATCCCATGGCAGAAAGGCAAAAGAGCATGCTTGAGAAAGGGCAAGAGATTGAACTTGCAGCCTCAAGTCCTTTTACAATTGGCATTAACCCATACATGAGGGTGAAGCCCTCATGACCTAAACATCCCCCATTAAGCCCCACCTTCTAACACTGTTGCATTGGAGATTACATTTCCAACACATGAGTTCTGGGGGACACATTCAAACCGTGGTAAATAGTAAGATATCTTTTACTATGCATGTACTAGGGTCCAGGCATGGTACTATACTTGATATACATTTTCCACATTGGGTTCTTACTACAACTGATAAGATGGCCACCATTATCTCTATTCAACAGTGAGCCTTGAGGAAGTTAAGAATCTCACCTAAGGCTTCATTGCTAGTAAGTAGGAAATGCGGACCTGAATCCAGGCCTGGTGGCAACAAAGCTCTTTACACCACAGAACCCTACCCACACTTGCTTCATGGAACCCACTAGGGCCCTGCCCAGCAAAGTCAAAATCTTAAATAGTTTTACCCTGAGTCCTGAGCCCTCAGTTTCCTCATTTGTAAAAGGAAGAGAATGACAGCCCCTATCTCACAGGCTGCTGGGAGTATTTGATGAGAGAATCCATGTGTCTAACTTAGTGCCTAGCACATAGTAAGTGCTCCTCAATGTTGGCCACTGTTACCTCCACAGACACATGGATGAGCATTTTGCCAAAGGTGTACAGATTACATGGACCTATCTTTTCCGAAAGTTTTACAGAACACACTTTTTTTTCCCAACATAAATAATAGGCTTATTGTGATAGAAAACAAAGCCAGTTGGCAAGGAAGATAGACTTGGGTTACAATTTTGGCCCTGTCATTCACTGATAACAGGTCTTTGGACAGGTTGCTTTACTTCTTTGAGCCTCTCTTTGCCCATCTTTAAAATAGAGAGTAGGAGTGGGAACTGCATGCTTTTGTAAAAGCACATACAGAACAATGGACACAGAGATGTCACTCAATAATAGCTACTTTCATTACTGGGTAAATCGAAGCTACTGTCATGACTTTTTCCACCTTCTTTCCTAACAACAGAGAAATCTGTTAGAGGTTCAGGTCATTGTTTTGATGTAATTCTCTTTAAATAATATTTCTTTGCCCCTTTGAATCATCTACTACTCTCAAATGTACTCTCAAGGAGAGAATACACACACACACACACACACACAAACACACACACGATTACCCAACAACTCTAGGCATTTAAAAGGTGTCATAAATTAAGTAAAGAGATACCAAGCTTGACAGCTGCACTATCTAGAGAAAAGGTCTACTTAGAAATTCTGTATGCCACAGTGGATACACTAAATACTTGTCATCCCAAGGTCCCAAGATGAATACTGGCTTACCTATTAAACCTAAAGCATATGTAGTTAAATATATTAGAAGTCAAGCCCTGATTAATTTTCATGATAATTGGCTCATACTTAACATATATACACACAAAATATTAAAATGCAGGCTATCCCACACAGACAAAACAGCCTGTCAGTTAAAACCAATACTTATTTGTTTCCCCTACTTATTCTGTCTCCAAAACCATGAAAGGTTTTTAGTCACTTGTTAAATGTCTCACATATCAAGAACCAACAACACTGTTCCTGTCTTTGGTCACCATGCCAAATAAAATATGCTTTGTATTATATTAATGTTGAAACTCACTTACTGGTCTTTTGGAGGAAAAGCAGTGTTTGTATGCTTAATAGAATCCTGATCCTTAACCAGTTGGACACTGGACACTTGGGCCTTAAATTATTAATCATCAATTCAAATGTGTATTGTACAATTCATAGCTTAATTGACAAACTTGGGAATTTGACCACACTCTAGAAGGTAGCAATACTAGAGTGTGCTCCTGCTTTCCCTTTTAGTCTTTTGTTTTTGAACTTGCAATGTCTCTTATCCATGTAGAAGTATTGATTATGTTAAAATTAATTGTTAAAAATACTGTATGCATCCATACTCTATGCAGATACAACCAGAAAATTTTCCTTATTTATCTTTTTTATACTGGTTTTTCTAATTAGCCCAATTCAAGGGTAATGTAAAGTCCAAGTTCCAAAGCTAAACATCCCAATATTTAGGAAATTAAAGCCTTATACTTTCACAATGATGGCTAAAACTGGTAACAGATTTGGGGTTTTTCAGTCTGTACCCACCAGTATGCTACCTGCATAATGAACTCTCACTCATTTTCTGCTATCTGGATGATTTGAGAAGTCAGAACCTCCGACCAGAAGGCTGACTGCATGCATCTACTCATTATTCCTGCCTGTTGCCACACATAAGGTAGCACATGCCCTTGAGCCCTTCAGATGATACTCACATACAAAAAATTAGCTGGGCGTGGTGGTGGGCGCCTGTAGTCCCAGCTACTTGGGAGGCTGAGGCAGGAGAATGGCGTGAAGCCAGGAGGCGGAGCTTGCAGTGAGCCAAGATCGTGCCACTGCACTCCAGCCTCGGCGACAGAGCGAGAATCCGTCTCAAAATAAATAAATAAATAAATAAATAAATAAATAAATAAATAAAATAAAAAAAAATCAGCACAAGGCAAAAAAGTCCATTCACAATTAAATGTTAAATCAGTGGCACAGCAGATAACTAGTATCATCTAGTAGGAAGAACTGTCAGCTCTGAAGTGTCATAGAATTCTGAAGGTACAGGAAACAGCACTTGGAGATCACCTAGCCTAGCTCCAGCAGTTCAAGATGTGACTTGGTAACTTGGTTAAGATCACACTGCTGCTAAGTAGCAGAGGTGGGTAAAGTACCTAAGGAAACCTGATAGTAAGTAGATAGTCTAAGAAAAGCCTTCCAAGAATAAGTAGAGTGAGGTGATGGCACTTTAGATGAAAAGAGTGGACAACATTCTCCTTTCCTGGTTTAGCAAAATTAACCTGCCACTGGTCTGACTTTTAGATTGTAGGATGGTGAATAGTCTCGGCACTGAGAGGTCAGATTAAAATTTGTTAAATAATCTAAAAATACTGATCTGTTTTATTCCATCCATCATTTTCAAACATGAAGTATTTTAATGTGTATTGTCCTTTACCTACAATACTACAAAATAGAAACACACCTATCCACACATGCATTCCAGGTGCATTTACAAGTGTTAACACTGGCTATCTTAACACACATCTTGTTGGGACAGAGGCCAAACTGTTGTAACTGACCAGGAGGAAATAATTATGTGTCTAGCTTGATGCTTCGCCACCAGCACACACTAAAGTTTGCGTTTAAAGCACACAACTACTCTTTGCAAAAATCGTTCCTGTAAAATCTGTCAGTCATCAGCAAATAGGAATAAGCTTAGAGTATGTAAATACTCACAGAGTACCTAAATATTCCTCTTAGAGTACCTAATTCCTCTTAGAGTAACTAAATATCAACTGATTGGACAATATTCTTTTTATAAAGATATGTGAATGTCAATAGGCAAGGCACAAAGATATTAAGTTAAGCCATTTTTAACTAAGAAATTTTGGTAGTGAAAAGGCCAGATGTGACTCCTAGGAACATGTAAAATTTATTTCAGACATGATTGTTCAAATCTGAGAGAAGAAAACATGGTAAATAATGTAAATCCAATTTTGACGAACCGTTTTTTAAAAATTATAAGTAACAATCGTGGTCATGAAACTTAAAACAACTAGGATTTTTATTCTGTAAGAAACATAAACCACTTTAATTTCTGATACAAAGCACACAGGCAGATAGTTACATTTTCTTGTATTTTAAAATAATTTCTGTGGGTTTGCAAGCACAAGTTAAGGCTCAGGTTAGTTTTTCTCTGTCTTCAAGATATTCCTAGAGGGTGTATTTTCAATTCCTCAGAAGTTATTTCAAGAGGTGTTATATCCTCAATTAAACATAGAAGATTAAGCTAGAAGCTCCCTTTCATTATATTTTAGCTATTTTCATTGCAAACTCTAGTACAATCTGTCAATGTAGATAAGAGAAATAACTGAAGTATAGCTTCAAAATAAGTGAAACAGGTTTATAAATCACAGGTAATCAATATTAAGTCCTGACTTTTAAAATATTAATACTAATGAAAGTCATTTTCTAACAAGTATCAAAAACAAAAGCAAATAAAAATTCAGGTGCTAGATTACAACCTTACACCTTACAACTGTAGCCAAATCTGCTGTTTGGCTTTAAAGTTCCACACAAAATCTTAACCTACAAATTTAACATTTCAAACCCACAAAATACAAGTACCAGAGTCACCCACAGTCATGTCAAAGGGCTTTCCAAGGTCTTAGAAACCTTAATCCAATACAGAAAAGCTAAGAGTCAAAAAGACATAGAAACAGGGAAAAGTGAAGGTGTTATTTGCCAAACATTAAACTTTCACAGAAATCCAAAACCTACTTAACAATTTCCCTATATCGAACAGCATAACCTCTATGCAAATGCAGTCATTTATTAGCATTTACTGTACTTACTTTGCTTTTTGCCATTTATAAGCTTCATTAAAGACACCCACAAAGAAGTAACCAGTTGAATGAGCTTCAGTCAAGAAAAACCAGCTGTAAACTCGACCTACAAATTTACATCCCACAGCGTCCTGTGGGGAAGGTACACTTTACAAACTACCATTATATATACAAGCTTTAGATTGTGAAATAATGCACTTCGGCTTTCTCCGGTGTACATTACAATTACAAACCCTCAACTCAACCTCCCCCTTCGTTGAAAAAAAAAATCCACCTCCAATCCTCATTGGTCCACATAGTTCCGGCCCACATGGTATCAGTGGGTGTGTCCCTCCCAAAAAACCCTCTCATTGGCCGTGAAGAAACAGCTTCTAATAGGCTGTGATTTTGGGGGGTAGTTAAACTCCACGCCTCCAGACTTGCGCTCTCCAATAGACCCGAGACGCTGCTGGCTACTCTGTGATTCAAAGGGCAGGCAACCCCAGTAGGACGCGCTCAGAGAAGCGAGAGGGGTGAGAAAGGAGAGAGCACCCTCGGTGTGCCGCCCACTTTATCCTCACTCCTGGACCCCAGCAAATGTTCACACACCTGCGTTTTCCCAGCCACCAATTAGAAGGGCGGACAGAGCGTTCGCTTATTATATATCCTTGACCTAGGGACCCGCTCAAGCTTCGTGTCCAATCCTCGTTCTACTGATAGAAGCGAGCAAAGGGCAGGCTCAGGCAAAGACCTGTAGTGCTTGATGTCCCCTAGGAAAAGAATCAGTCCCGGGAACCTACTCTGTGCAGTCCCTCGACCGCAGACGCGGGGGCGCACGGGGCGTGCTGCGGCGCCTGCCTCAGCCGCTCCCAGTCCCGGGCCCCGCACGCTGCGTCTGCCTTGCGCCCGCGCTCCCCTCCCAGCGGGACTTACGCGGCCTGTTCTTTCTCCCCGAGTCCATCCTCCTCCGCAGCCGGCATTTCTTGGCCGGGGAGTCATGCTGAGGGAGCAGTGGCTGCGGCTGCAGCTCCGGCAGGAGCGGGAGGCGCTGGGGCGCCGCGTCGCTGCCGCCCACTGGACCCCGGCTGCAGACGTGCGGCGGCTGGACTGGCGGCGGATGGAAGCCGTTGTGCAGCAGCCCGTTCACAGCGGCGGCGCTGGTGCCCACGGGGGCCCCTGGAGAGTGCGGGACCGAGCGCTCCTGCTGCCCGCTGCGGTCGCCCATGCCGGGGGCTGGCGGGGCTGTGCGCGGGCCCCGGCTCAGGCGGCCTCGCTGGAGGTCATTCTCCGGCGTCTTTATTTCCCCGGATCCTCCCTGCGGCTTCCGATTCAGCAGCCGCAGAGCCGGCGCCTGGGGATGGCGAACCCGGCGCTCCTCCCCTCCTCCTGCCGACTCCCCCACCTCCTCTGCGCCCTGCCCCCCGCGCGCCGGCCCCACGGCGCCGGCCTGGAGCACGCCAGCCCCGGGCGCGGAATCGGGGATCCCCGCGCACCCCCAGCCGGGGCTCCCGCCGCCCGCCTTCCCCTGATCCCCAGGCCGCGCGACTTCAAACGCGGCTTCCTCGCCTCCCAGACTGGTCCCCGCCACTGAGCATGCCCAGTCCTGCCCGCCACCGCCACCGACGAGTTTCAACATGGGGAATCAAGTTCTCTGGGCTTGCAGAGAGGAGATGGGCGGGTTGGGCTTTGTATGGCGATGTGAAAACCAGATGGGTCTGGGAGAGACAGCGAAAGGAGCGAACCGTTTCAGGAGGAATACGGGAGGAAGACAATTATTTGCAGAGGTGTCAGGTTTGCTAATCCTGTCCCCAGTGAGCAAGATACCTTTGCAAGGTCATTCACGTTACCCTCCCCGCTTTGTGAGTGTGTGCTTACGCGCGCGCGCGTGTGTGCCTGTGCGTTTGGTTAAGTGACCAAACTACTTAGAGGCCTGAGGGGAGGGAGAACAATTATTTATAGAAAAGTTGGCAGACTTGGGGAGGGAGGGGAGTGAAATTTCTTTGCTGGCACGCACACACACTCAAACACCATGTGGTCTCATGGAGTTGTCTTTTGCAGGGAGGAAACCTAGGAATACAGTGTAAGGACAGTGAAGGACAAAACTGTAGGCAGGATTAATCGGTGCTGAAAGAGATCAAGTAAACAGGAGCAATTCCATGCTATAAAAAGCACTTTCCTCACCCAGAAAGGACTTCAAAAGACAATGTCATGTTATTTATAGAGTAAGGAGTTGCCTCTTCTAAGAAGGGAAGGCGGCATCACGTGGTGACCAGCACTACGAGCTTTGGAGTTAGCACTGGGTTCAAATTCCAACTCAGCCACTGAGCAAACCCAGATAACGTTAATGCTCAAGGTAACACTTCTAGCAATAGGAAACGGGACTGTCCATGCTCACTATGCAGGACTAATTTGGGTGGTGAATACCTTCCCAAAGTTATGCAATCTCTTGAGGCCTCACTTTCCTATCCATAATGGGGCTGTTGTGAGAAAATCTACTAAAAGTACCTGGTACAATCCTGGCACACAGTAAATGCTCAGAAAGCTAGTTTTCCTTATTACGCTATTATGATTAGCAGTTCACCCTTTGTTTCGACAGGGGAACAAACCATGCTTACAGCCGTATTTATTGTGTGATTTATTTTGTGATATTCTCCGTGATTTGCAATTAATCTACAGAGGAGTCAGAGTCTGGCAGGTGCTGGCTGGCTACTGGGTTGCTGGGCCCCTGGGCTTCAGTGCATTCAGCAGCATCTAGGGCTTGCATCTGGCAATTCCTTCCAGCAGAGCCTTACCTAGAATCAGAGCTTGAGAACCATGGGGGCCACTGGAGCACTCTGGTCTATCCACTCTTGCATACTTTTTTCGTATCAGGAAACTGAGCTGCAGACAGATGGCTGAGGTTATTAAGAGCAAAGGTGGGACTAAACTCCAAATCTCAACTCTCTTAGCTTCCCTAACCTTATGCTATTTAAAGACAGAGAAAAAAACCCAGGTGATCTGGCCCCTCCCTACCTCTCCTGCCTCATCAGGGGCTCCCTGTGCTGCCTTCAATTCCTTAAACAACATTCTGCTGTTTCCATTGCCTTAGAGAAGTCTCTTCTCTAAGACCTCTTTTGTCTACTAGACTCCAACTTTAGATCTCCTCTTTAACTTCTCATATTTAGAGAAATGTTCCCTGACCCTTAGGGCTACATTAGGTCTCCCTGCCATACCCTCTTCCTACTCCTTGTACTCTGTTTATGACTCCTTATCATTTTGTAACTATACCATGCATCTGTTCCCTCATTTGTAACTTGAGAATAATAGGACATCACTGAGTTGTTAGACTGATGAAATGCATAACACATGCGTAAAATTAATTCAAACTTCAAGCTATTGGAACTTTTTTGTGAGACTTGAGAGAAATGTGGCTATGCAGCTACAACTTCTGCTTTTTTTTTTTTTTTTTTTAAGACAAGGTCTCACTCCTTCACCCAGGCTGGAGTGCAGTGGCACAGTCGTAGCTTACTGTAGCCTCCAACTCCTGGGCTCAAGCGATCCTCCCACCTTGGCCTCCCAAAGTATTGGAATTATAGGAATGAGCCACCATGCCTGGGCTTGCCTTTTTTCCTTGTAAATAATTAGGAAGACCGAGCAGGGCCAGAGATACTAATCCCTTGGATCACTGCCTCTCCTCACAGAGTAATAATCTTCCTTGGAATGCAGCAGTCTGCAACCAATCAAATCGCTGTGGCATATGCATTGGTCTTGTATGGAAAATGTAATTCTGCTGGAACTTCTCCATCTCTGCCAGTATAAGTGAAATCTTAACTTCTCCACTTTGGAGCACTGATCCCACTCATTTGGAGTTAGTGTTTCCAGGTGGCTATCCTCAAGCTTTGCACTCAAACTTCATACTTAATCATGTTCTCTAAATCTCATTATTTAAGGTTAACATATGTAAAGTGTCCAGCACATTGTAAGTGCTAGAAAAAGACATTATTATTATTTGATTGCCCATCTTACCCCACTTCACTGTAAGCATCTTTAAGGCAGATGACTTGTTCATCACTCTATCCCTAGGAGGCACTTGGTAATTATTTGTGACTGGATAAATGACTTATATCAAGCTTGTCTAGCCTGTGGCCCACAGCCTGCATGCGGCTCAGGACGGCTTTGAATACGGCCCAACACAAATTCATAAACATGAGATTTATTTTTGTGACTTTTTTTTTTTTAGCTCATTAGCTATCATTAGTGTTAGTGTATTTTATGTGTGGCCCAAGACAATTCTTCCTCTTCCAGTGTGGCTCATGGAAGCCAAAAGATTGGACACCCCTGACTTAGATGATATTTCACACAGAGTCCCCCTCACTTTCTACTGTAAATTTGCTAAAAATCACCAGCCACTCCTAAATATTCAAATATATCATTTTCAAATTCCCACATAATTGAGCTGAGTGGCTTAGGAAGCAAATTACATCAGAGATGCAAATAGAAGCTTTAGCATTGCAATATCTCCAAGGACATATTTTTTCTAGCTGGATTCCCAGGCCTGCTGAGGAAGGCCTGAGCCAGGTGGCTCAGACCCAGGCAGGGCAAAAGTACTGGTACTGGGACAGAACGTCCTCCACCTGCTTCCTTTCTCCTACCCTTGTCAGGCTGGGTGCTTGGATCAGTTACACCCAGCGTATGGTAGGGAAGAAGCCAGGTGGCATCTCACAGGTTTATTCAGGGGTGTGTGTAGGAGGTGTAACTTTGAGGCGTGAGCTGTCATGTCCTCCAGGAGGGGCATGCAACAAATGTTTGGAAGAGAGTGAGGGAGAAGGGAACCCACAAACCAGTGCACTCCCTTGGGTCTTATTCATTTATTTAATAATCATTTATTGTGTGTACTATGTTGTAGGCACTAAAGCATGCTGGGAATACAAAGACAAAATAGATGGCTTCACTGCCCTCAAAGGGCTTACAATTCAGTAGAGAGAGAAAAGTCAGTGATTCTCCAGCATCAGTGTTATGTAAGAATAACCTAGGGAATTTTTCCTTTTTAAATTTGTATTAAAACTAACATACATACAGAAAAGTATGCATATCTTATAAAGCTCAAGGTATTTTGCAAAAAATGAACATGCAGTGTAACTTGCAACCCAGGATATTTTGTAAGCACAGATTCTGGGTCCAGTTCCCATAGACTGATTCATCAGTAGGTGATGATGATGATAACGAAGATGATAATAAATATTTTTAAAATTAAAAAAATAACTTTTTCAAAAACAGGGGATTTGATGCAGATGATCATCATGGCTTGGAGAAACAATGAAGGAAGCAAAGTATGCCATCTATGCTGCGGGAGGTAACTCCAGAAGACCCCAGAGAGTGAGCAATGACAGAGTCAGGGGTGGGGGTTTATGGGGGAGTGGTGCTGAGGTGGAAGCTAAAACAGGTTTCAGGGAGGAAATGACCCTTAAACTGAATTTTGAATAATATTGGCCTTTCTTCAGGTGAATAGGGAGGGAAGGTTTAAAAGAATCTACTCAGAACTGAAGGAGCCAAGACTCTGTGGGTGCATTTGAAACAACCTGGCATTTTTGGGAAACTGCCAGGAGTTCCACAAGGCTGAAGAGCAGCCTGAGAAGGGAGAAGGTGAGCAGTAATGGCTGAAAAGTTTATGTAACCAACCAACAGGCTCATTTTACCTGCTGCCCAGATACAGCCGATTTATCAAGACAGGGGAATTGCAAAAGAGAAAGAGTTAATTCATGCAGAGCCAGCTGAACAGGAGACTGGGGTTTTATTACTCAAATCAGTCACCCTGAAAATTCAGAGGCTGTGGTTTTTCAAGGATAGTTTGGCAGTCCAGGGAATGGAGTGCTGCTGATTGGCTGGGGATGCAATCATAGGAGTGTGGAAAATGGTCCTTCTGCATATGTGCTGAGTCTGCCTCTGGGAGGGGCCACAGGATGGGTTGGCAGGTCCACGTGGAGCCACTGGTTGTCAAAAATGCAAAACCCTGAAAAGACATCTCAAAAGGCCAATCTTAGGTTCTACAATAGTAATGTTATCTGCAGGAGTATTTGTGAAAGTTGTAAATCTTGTGACTTCTGGAATAATGACTAGTAATCATTTATGTCTACACTTTAGCAGAATTCAGGCTTCTCTTATCTGCCTAACCTATAAAGATGGTTTAGTTTTGGGGAAGGGCTACTATCATTTAAACTATAAACTAAACGTCTCCCAAAGTTAGCTTGGCTCAAGCCCAGGAATGATTAAAGACAGTTTGGAGGGTAAAGGCAAGATGGCAGTTGGTTAGATCAGATCTCTTTCACTATCATAATTTTCTCACTGTTATATTTCTTGCAAAGGTGGTTTCAATTGAATAGGATCCAAATCTCAAATGGCTTTCTATCCCATAGGAACGAGTTTGGACTTTTAACTGAGGGCCATTGGAAACTACTGAAGAGTTTTAGGCAGCATAAGAACTACTAGATTTTCATTGTGGGAGGATCCTCAGCAGCAGCCTCAGAAAGGAGATTGGGGAAGGAGATCCCTAGTCAGGGAGACCAAGAAGACTACTGGAAAAAAACAGGTAAGAAGTGATAAGGGACTGAGTGAAGGACACAGCAGTTGGAATAAGAGCACTGGGTGGATTCAAGAATTATTTTAGAATCTATAGGACTTGGTCAATGGGAGGGTAAGGGAGAGGTGTGGCTGGGCTGATTTCTATGTTTCCAGGTCGTGCAGCTGGGGATGTGGTTTCAACATGCAGATCTAAGCATATCCCCATTCCATCCTGAGCTGCATCACTCCCAGGCTGGGTTGGGTGCCTCTCTGGTGTAAGCCATATCACTCTTTGCCTATCTCAGTCTAATACTACACTTAACACGTTTCATTGCAATTTTTTTGGCAGGGGAATCCTCAAGGACCTGCAAACAAGAAACCAAATCCCCCCACTCCCCCCAGCCAAAATGTGTTCATTTTGACCAGCTGTGTGTGTGTTTTAAATTAAAAGTTTGAATTAGAAAGCAAGTAGGATAAATTTATATACTTAGATGTATAAATTTAAATACCTGGCCCCTGAAGCACTTCTGATAGGTCTCAGCTACCCAAACAAGAAGAACGGAATCTTTGAATCCCCAGGACTCAACGCAGTACTGGACACAAAATGGGAGCTGAAAAAGTGTGTGTGGAGTCAGTGAAGGATGCAATTTCCCCTCATTGTAGAGATGAAGAAGCTGAGGCTGCAGAGTAGAATAGGAGCAGACAGTGGGGATTGTCTTCAAAGTAGGTTCCTAGTTCCTGGCTCAGAGGTCCCAGTTTTTGTTGACCATGGACAGTAAAACTCCCTGGGGAAGCGGGCCCAGTCTCAGGAGAGCAGTTTTGATTGGTCTAAGTTTGTGATTGACTTAGGAACTGTCTGGCCAATGAAATATGAGGGAAAGCCTGGGGGATTCTGGGAAAGGTTTTGTAAACCAAAAAGTATTTGAGACATGTCTCAATTTTAGAGGATTATTTTGCCAAGGTTAAGGACCATTGCCCATACAGCCTCAGGAGGCCCTGAGAACATATACCCAAGGTGGTTGGGGTACAGCTTCATTTTATACATTTTAGGGAGTCAGAAGTTACAGGCAAAGACATAAATCAATACATGCAAGGTATACATTGGTTTGGCCCAGAGAGGTGGAACATCTAGAAGCAGGAGCTTCCAGGTCATAAGTGGATTCAAAGATTTCCTGATTGGCAGTTTGTTGACAGAGTTAAGCTCCGCCCCAAGAGTTGATGTCAGCTTAAATTAAGGTAAGGGGGTGCTTTGTGGAAACCAACGTTCTTATCATGTATATGAAGCCTCCAGGCTTCAGCGAGAATAGATGTGAATGTCTTTTATTGGACCTTAAAAATTGTCAGACTTTCTGGAAAAGACCTAATAAGGGAATCTTTACAGAACATAATTTTTTCACCCACAAGTGACAGCTTGGCAGGGCCGTTTCAAAATATGTAAAGAAATATAATTTGAGGTAAAATAATTTGATTTCCTTCAGGGCCCACTGGCTGTCACGTGATGTTATACCAGAGTCAGATTGGAATCTGTTGTCTTACTGCTACCAAGATTTTGTCTTGACAGTCTTAAGATTCCTGTTTTAATGTCAGTTCTGGTCAGTTGTGTCTAAACTCAAAAGGAAGGAGGGTATAATGAGGCATGTTTCACCCCCTCTTTCCCATCATGGCCTGAACTAGTTTTTCAGGTGTTTTTTTGAATCCCTTTGGCCAAGGGGGATCCATTCAGTCAGCTGAGGGGCTTAGAATTTTATTTTTGGTTTATAGTTTCCTCTTGATTAAAGAAGGAAGTCTGCAATGTGGGTTTGTAACCTAGTTTTTAATAACTTTACATCAGACTTGTAATTTATTGTTACTTTCTGAAGACACACTGATAAAACCTCTCTACCATGACGTCATTGCATGTTTTCACGGTAGAAATTCTAATTATTTGCTAAAGTGAAAATAAAGTCAAACATGCCTAAGTCTTTATCTGCTTAACCACATTAGCTATGGTGTGATCATGGAAAAAGGGCACACATCAAGACATAGTTTTAAAAGAATTATTAGAATGTTGACTACCAGAATAATATTGACCCAGGATGAACTTCTTTTTTTATTTTTTCATTTCTGCTTTTTTGTTATTGGTGTTTATAACTTCCTCAGAGATTCACCATGGGGTTACCTCATACAAGAGACTACCTTCAGGTACAGATTTTCATCACCATACTTTCTGTAGGTGCCCCTGGCAGTCAGAGGTTACCACAAACAAAAAGTACTTTGGTGAGTAGTGTTATAGTGAGATTCTGATAACTCATTCATCAGAGCCTCTCACTTAAGTACGAAGATAAGTACCAGAGTTACAATCTTGAGCAAAAGCAAAGTCCCTGTCTTCATCTGTGTTACAGAAAAGACAGGCCTTAAGCACACACTCACCAAAAAAGCAAAGACATTAGTGCATACTTCAAAATGCATAAAATATAAGACCCCCTAGTGCCATGAGAGTACATACCAGGCTGACCTGGCCTAAATATAAGTTTCATCAGAGGAAGTGGTATTTAAACTGAGTTCTGAATATTGAATAGAAGTTAATTAAGGTTGGAGTAGATGTAGAAGAGGTATTCACAGTGTATCTCATATCATAAATATGGTAGGTAATTCATAAATACTTGTTGATTGAAAGAATGAATTGAACCTATCCCCCCAGTAGGGCAAATCAAGTGTAAGGAAAATTATTCACTGGAACAAACCATTGGAGAAAGTTTAGGCCAGTTTGTCTAATCATCAGTCTTTCACAATAATTTGTTACAGACCAGAGGCTCCCCATGTAATAAAAATTAACATGGAGCCAAGCAGATTCCTCAGACAAGGCTTTTATCTGGTGTTTGTGCTTGAGTGCAAGGGAGACAGCAGAGGCACAAGGACCTTCTGGTGACTCTCTGAAAAAGAGCTGGTAGGGATTTTTTATGAGACAAAGTGCTGGAATTGACAATAGGGGTAAGATATGCAGGCTGGGCTGGACAAAGCATGTGAGGGGTAGGGTATGTAGCATAGCGCGTTGCTATGTTTTTCTTGAGTAATGGGCCAACTGGTTATCTGGGAGCAGCAAAGAGGGTTTAAATCAGATTTTCGGCATTCCTTCCCAGGTAGGACACTCTGCAACCTTGGTTTGATTTTGGATCCCCCAAAGCCAGTTTCTGAAATTCTGTAAGTAAAAGACATGGTTAAACATTATGAGAGCAAAGAAGAATGGCTGTGTTCTTTGTGTGACTAAAGCCTTGGAGTTAGCAGGTATAGCATCAGTGAGGTAGTGGTGTGGGTTTTGTGGTCAGTGGGAATGTATGAAAGAATGCTCTACTGGGGGCAAGCTGAAGCCAAGCCCAGTTCTTGCGCTTTCTCAAATTGACCACATGAGAGTAATCCCTTTCTCTTTACGATTCTTTCTCTCTCGTGATGGAGTACTTTCTTCAAACACATACCCAAGATACTCTTGTTGTCTATTTTTTTTTTTCGTTTTATTTTGGTCAACAAAGAGGGGAAAATATAGCATCAGCAGCTGCCACTACCAGTAATAACTGTGTGTGCAGGAGTGAAACGCACCCCACGTGAATAAACTTCCTGTTAGGCACTAATATTTTTTGAGCACCTACTAATTATGATATGGAGGGGGATGGTGCATGGCTGCCTAGAAATTTGATAGGCTGTAATCAGAATGACCCCAAGTATTGGACATAATTTCAAGAATGGAGCTGAGTTTAGCAAAATTATAACAGTCATATTATCTAACATGTATTAAATCCTCATGTGCCATATACTGTCCTAAGCACACTATAAATATCATTTTTTTAAAATAAGTATCACAATAGCCATGTGAATTGGGTACTATTATTATCCTCATATTCCAGATTAGGGAACTGGAGCTTATAGAGGCTCATTAGCTTATCCAAGTTCACACAGTGGATAATAGTGTCACTGACATTTGAACACAGGTCTGGATGGCTCCAGAACTTACTGTGGTATAAAACAAAATATATTTGGTCTTTGTCCCAATTCCTGTCAGAGATCCTGAAACACTCAAAATTTCCCGGAGTGTGGGGAAAAAAAGGAGTGTTTTGTTATTCATAATGGCCTCTTTTTATCATACCTGACTTTATGCTAATAAGTTGACTTGTGGTGGGCCCCCTGTGATAGACTCAGGATAGGGCCAGACATCAGAAAAATCAAGTGATTAGGGAATTAGAGGGTTGGAAATTTCAGCCTCACCCACCAACCTCCAGGAAAGGGGTGGGGGCTAGAGATTAAGCTCTCTAGAACTCTTGAATAATGCAATTTAATGAACTCCCAGGTTGCTGAACACATAAAGGTGCTGGGAGGGTAGTCGCCCATCCATGCCTTGCTCTATGTATGTATTAGTTCATTCTTGCATTGCTATAAGGAAACACTTGAGACTGGGTAATTTATAAAGGAAAGAGTTTTAATTGGTTCATGGTTCTGCAGGCTTTACAGGAAGCATGGTGCTGGCATCTGCTCGGCATCTGGGGAGGCCTGAGGAAGCTTTCAATCATGGCAGAAGGTGAAGGGGGCTCAGGCACATCATGGCAACAGCAGGAGCAAGCAGGAGAGAGAGAATTGGGAGGGAGGTGCTACAAACTTTTAAATGACCAGATCTCACGAGAACTCACTGTCATGAAGACAGCACTAAACCATGAGGGATCCGCCCCCAGGATACAAACACCTCCCATCAGGCCCCATCTCCAGCACTGGGGATTACAATTCAAGATGAGATTTGGGCAGGGACAAATATCCTAACTGTATCAAGATATCCCTTCATCAGGTTGTTCATCTGTATCCTTTGTAATATCCTTTGTAATCAACTGGTAAATGTAAGTAAAGTATTTCTCTAAGTTCCGTGAGCTCTCCTAGCAAATTACTGAACCCAAGGTGAGGAGTCATGGGAACCTTAATATATAGCTGGTGATATGGTTTGGCTTTGTGTCCTCACCCAAATCTCATGTCAAATTGTAATCCCCAGTGTTGGTGGAGGGGCCTGGTGAGAGGTGGTTGGATCATGGGGTCAGTTTCTAATGGTTTAGGATCATCCCCCTAGTGCTGCTTGTTTAAAAGTATGTAGCACCTCCCCTGCAACCTGCCAGCCATGTGAAGCTATGCCTGCTTCCCCTTCACTTTTTGCCATGGTTGTAAATTTCCTGAGGCCTCCCTAGAAGCAGAAGCCTCAGAACCATGAGCTGATTAAGCCTCTTTTTAAAATAAATTACTCAGTCTCCAGTATGTCTTTATAGCAATGTGAGAATGAACTAATACAGAAAATTGGTACCAGAGAAGAGGGCAATTGGTATAAAGATACCTGAAAATGTGGAAGCAACTTTGGAACTAGGTAGCGGGCAGAGGTTGATACAGTTTGGAGTGCTCAGAAGAAGACAGGAAGATGAGGGAAGGTTTGGAACTCCCTAGAGACTTGTTAAGTTGTGACCAAAATATTGATAGTGATATGGACAGTGAAGTCCAGGCTGAGATGGTCTCAGATGGAGATGAGGAATTTATTGGGAACTTATTTGGAGCAAAGGTCATTTTGTTACTCATTAACAAAGAGGTTGGAGGTATTGTGCCCTGCCCTAAAGATCTGTGGAACTTTGAACTTGAGAGAGATGATTTAGGTTATCTGGTGGAAGAAATTTCTAAACGGCAATGTGTTTAACATGTGGCCTGGCTGCTTCTAACAGCATATGCTTATATTCATGCAAATTTTGGAAAATTTGCAGCCTGATCATGTGGTAGAAAAAAAAAACCCATTTTCTGGGGAGGAATTCAAGCCAGCTGCAGAAATTTGCATAAGTAAAGAGGAACTGAATGTTAATAGCCAAGACAAAGGGGATAATGCCTCCATGGCATTTCAGAGACCTTCAAGGCAGCCCCTTCCATCACAGGCCTGGAGGCCTAGTAGGGAAGAGTGGTTTCGTGGGCCAGGCCCAGGGTCCCAGTGCTCTATGCAGCCTTGGTACATGGTATCCTCCATCACAGCTGCTCCAGCTCCAACCATGGCTAAAAGAGGCCAAGGTACAGCTCAGGCCACTTCTCCAAAGGGTGCAAGCTGCAAGTCTTGGTGTCTTCTATGTGTTATTAAGCACAGAGGGCAAGAATTGATGCCTGGAAACCTCTGCCTAGATTTCAGAGGATGTTTGGAAATGCCTGGATGTCCAAGCAGAAGAAGTCTGGTACAGAGGTGGAGCCCTCATGGAGAACCTTGACTAGGGCAGTGCAAGGGGAGATGTGGGGTTGGAGTCCCCATATAGAGTCCCCACTGGGGCACTGCCTAGTGGAGCTGTGAGAAGAGGGCCACCATCCTCCAGACCCCAGAATGGTAGATCCACCAACAGCTTGCACCATGCAACTCGAAAAGGCACAGGCACTCATTGCCAGTCTGTGAAAGCAGCCACAAGGGCTGTACCCTGCAAAGCCAAAGGTACAGAGCTGCCCAAGGCCTTGGGAGCCCATCCCATGCATCAGTGTGTCCTGGATGTGAGACATGGAGTCAAAGGAGATTATTTTGGAGCTTTGAGATTTAATGACTACCCTGCAGGATTCTGGACTTGCACAGAGCCTGTAGCTCCCTTGTTTTGGCCAATTTCTCCTTTTTGGAATGGGAACATTTACCTAATGCCTGTACTGCCATTGTATCTTGGAAATAACTAACTTGTTTTTGATTTTACAGGCTCATAGGCAGAAGGGACTTGCCTAATCTCAGGTGAAACTTTGGACTTGGACTTTTGAGATAATGCTGGAATGAGTTAAGATTTCGAGGGTCTATTGGGAAGCCATAATTGTGTTTTGAAATGTGAGAAGGACATGAGATTTGGGAGGGGCAGGGGTGGAATGACATGGTTTGGCTTTGTGCCCCCACCCAAATCTCATGTTGAATTGTAATCCTCAGTGTTGGAGGAGAGACTTGGTGGGAGGTAATTGGATCTATGGGTTTAGCACCATCCCCCTGGTGCTGCTTGTTTAAAAATATGTAGCACTCCCCTTTTTTCCAGCCACGTAAATATGTGCCTGGTTCCCCTTCACCCTCTGCCTGATTGTAAGTTTCCTGACACTTCCCCAGAAAGCTTGTACAGCCCACAGAACTGTGAGCCAACTAAACCTCTTTTCTTTATAAATTACCCAGTCTCAGGTATGTCTTTATAGCAATGTAAGAACAGACTAATACAGCTGCTTATTCAGAAGCACAAGTCACAACTTAGGACTTGACTTGCAATGGCTATCTGAAGTGGGAGTAGTCCTATGGGACTGAGTCTTCAACCTTTGGAATCTGACACTATCTCTACGTATAAATGTAGGACACTCAGTTGGTATCTACTGGAGAATTGCTTGGTATGTGGGGAAAACTCCCACACATCTGGTCACAAAAGTGTTCTGTGTGGTGAGTATGAGAGTAGAGAGAAAATCAGGGTTTTTTTCCCCTTTACACCTATACATTCCATAACTCAGCTGTAGTACCTCCCAAAAGACAGTGTATCTCCCTTTACCTGCAGACTTTACACCATGGTTGCAAATGCCTGGTATAATATTCCATTGCCTGCATAGCATTACCTTTCATAAAAATTACTAGGTTCCTTTATTTCTTATTGATATTCTTCAACCTATTATCTTATTTTTGTTTCTGAAAGAGACTTTTTGCCCTTAAAATTTTTTTCCAACTATTAATATAATGTTTTCTATTTTGTATACATAGTTCCTAACTTCCAATAATTCAACTTACAATTTTTCAACTTTACAATGCTGAAAAAGTGGTAGGCATTCAGTAGAAACTATATTTCAAGTACTCATACAACCTTTGTTTTTTACTTTTAGTACAATGTTCTATAAATTACGTGGGATATTCTACACTTTAGTACAAAATAGGCTTTGTGTTAGATGATTTTGCCCAACTATAGGCTCATGTAAGTGTTCTGAGCACATGTAAGGTAGACTAGGTTAAGCTATGATGTTCGGTAGGTTAGGTGGCAAATACATTTTTCACTTATGATATTTTCAACTTATGATGGGTTTATTGGGACATGACCCCACTGCAAGTCGAGGAGTATTTGTGTGTATTTGTGTGTGTATACACATATAGTCAACTTTTTGAAATCAAATTTCAAGTATTTTCAGGATTCTGGTGAATAGGATCTATGCACAGTTCTTAAAGAATGATAGCAGTGATAAGGAGAATCTTGTATCAGGGGCCTAGTATGCTAGATATTCATATTTCATTCAGGTTTCTTATAGCTGTCTTGTTTCCCAGATGAAATCCCCTCTGAATAGTAAGTGGTCATCAGCTGCATATAATAATAAAAACCCACTTGTAAGGGAAAAAACAAACTTCCTCCTTCTCCTCTCATACACAACACAACATAGAACAATCCTGTGACTAATATATGTGGGGACTTTTCCCCACACACCAAGCAATTCTCCAGTGGACACCAACTGGGTGTCCTACAGTTCAGTTCTTACACTGGCTACCTGGAGATAACATCAGATCCAACAGGTTAAGGGCTCAGGCCCACAAGATTGTGCCCCACTTCAAATGCCAATCATAAGTCCCAGGTTGTGACTTGTACTTCTCGCCAACCAGCTACAAATTCCTCAGGTCTGATTGCTAGGATGGCTTTCAGAACTCAGGAAAGCAATTTATTTATACTTACCAGTCATTTTAAAGGACATTATAAAGAATACAGATGGACAGCCAGATGAAGAGATACACTGGGCAAAGTATATGGGAAGGAAAGCAAAGCTCCTATGATCTCTTCAGGTTTACCACCATCTAGACATCTCCACATGTTCAGCAACCTGGAAGCTCACCAAACTTCATCAGGTAGACATGATCAATTAACCCAATCTCCAGCTTTCCCCAAAGGATGGGGGGTGAGTTGGAAAGTTCAAAGTTTCTAATTATGGCTTAGTCTTTCTGGTGACCAGTCTCCATCCAGGAGTCCACCAAGACTCGCTCCATTAGAACAAAAGACACTCCTATCACTCGGGAAATTCCAAAGGATTAGGAGCTCTGTGTCAGGAACTGGGAGAATAAACCAAATACACATTTCTTATATCACTATATCTCACCACTTTAACTCGTTTTAGCATAAAATGAATCAATATGGGAAATTGGGTGAGTAAAATCGCTGGAAAAGCTAAAAACAGCCATTACTGGCTTGGCTCCCAGTAATGACTCTCTTGGGTGGTATTCTTTCCACAACAGAATCATCTTACTAAGGGAGTAGCTACTTCTGTTACAATCATAAAACAAGAAATCAGGGAGTCACTGCTCCTGTTGCTGGCTTCAGGACTGACCATCTCGGGTCAAATCTATACACGCAAAACGCATGCCCCATATTCTGCCTCTCCAAGTCCATGATATTAAGGACAGGACACTGAGACCTCTGCTGCCACTGCACTGCCTTCCAGACAAAGCAGCAGAAGTGCAGCCTCCTCCTCAATCAGGCCTTCCAGATGTTGCCCAAGTGCATCTGCTTGGCAGAGCTAGCCCATGTACAGGACCGAAGCTGTAAGGAAATCTGGGGAAAGACTTCAACTTTCTCACTTCTAGCATGCAACAGGGCATATTGAAAGTGGTCGAAATGGAGTTGAGTGAACCCATCTATTTACCTGCCACAAACCTCAATAAAGATTTTGATAATTAGGTAGCATGGTTTGCTGAGACTTTTCTGCATCCTGGGAACTTCCTCAACCCAGGCAAACTGAGATAGTCAGTTAACCTATGTGGTAATGAGGCTTGAATCTCTCTATAAATTCCCCTAGAGAGGCTGAAATTGAAAGCAGGACTAATCAAGTAATAACAACAGTGATAACTATGTTATGGTGTTATGAGTTCTATTTCTGAAGTCACTCAGACGTAGGTTTGAATCCAGCTCCTTCTCTTAGTGGCTGTGTAATCTTAGTAACTATGACCTTAATTAAGTTGATTTATCTAATAGCCAGTTTCTTCTCTCCAGCATTATCCAATAGTATTCTCTGATGGGGGAAATACATCGTATCTACACTGTGCAATGTGATAGTCACTAGCCACACATAGCTTTCAAGTACGTGAAATATAGCTAATGAGAGTAATGAACTGGATTTTTAATTTTTTATTTTAATGAATTTACATTTAAATTTAAATAGCAACATGTAAATAATGGATGCTGTATTGGAGAGTGGACACAATAGGAATAAAATGGTCTCTACCTTATTTATTTTATTAATTCGACATATATTTATTAAGTAAATTTTATGAGCACCTGTGAATGTTGTGCTAGGGAAACATCATGAAGCTTACAACCCACTGAGAGAGTCAGACCCTTAACAAATGAACAAATACAGTAACTACAGTTTATGATTAGTAGTATAAAGCAAATAAACAGGATATCATTCTGCAGAATAATAGGGGGTGCATTCTTTAGGTGGGGCATCAGGAGAAAACTTCTTTGAGGAGAGTATGAATGATCCAAACTCCATCCATTGCCATCTTCCAGCTCAGGGTGGCCATTTGACACAACTCAGGCCAGTGAGATAAGAGAAGAAACTGTCCAAGTGATGTTTCCGGAAAGTTTTGGGTTTTCTCATAAAAAAGGAACTGATAAATCAACTTGAGGACACTCCCAATGGCCAAAATTGGACTATTTGAATATCAATAAGGCTAATAACTGCAGTGCATTAAAACACATCAAATATGTTTAAATCAATGAGTTCACAAAGATAATTTTTTAAAAGTCTGATTGGTTACCACTGGAGGATGCTAGTGAATCAATTCACTGTTTTGAAAACTGGTGGCTGGGCACGGTGGCTCATGCCTGTAATCCCAGCACTTTGAGAGGCTGAGTCGGGTGGATCACCTGAGGTTGGGAGTTTGGGACCAGCCTGACCAACATGGAGAAACTCCGCCTCCACTAAAAATACAAAATTAGCTGGGCATGGTGATACCTGCCTGTAATCCCTGCTACTCAAGAGGCTGAGGCAGGAGAATTGCTTGAACCCAGGAGGCAGAGGTTGTGGTGAGCCAAGATCGCACCATTGCATTCTAGCCTGAGCAACAAGGGCGAAACTCTGTCTCAAAGAAAACTGGTAAACTAAGGGAAAGTATGAAGCATTAATCTTTCCTTTATTGTTTGTACCTATTGGGTCACTTAAAAATAGAATGGGAAAGTTTCTCTTTATAAAAGTATTCCAGCTAACAACTGAAGAAGGAATGATAGACTTAAAACATTATCATTTTATAACATAAGGAATTAATGGATTTAGACATTAATCATCAAAAGCTGTTAATGTCACAAAAAGAGAGACAACCACTCATTAGGCACCTCTGGATAGCAGAACATAATACCTCCTATGAAGTAGTCTTGCCAAGAAGAAAAAAGGAACAATAAAACATCTGAATCTAATCAAACTTGTAGATTCAACTATTAACTTACAAGATACACAGAGGACACCATAGGGATGCAATCAGAAAAATCCAGATTGTGGGAAACTCTACAGGACAAATGACCTAGTTTCTTCAAAAAATAAGAGGAAAGGAAAAGAGATGAAGGGGGATCCTGTGGATTAAAAGGGACTTCAAGGACATGTCCATTGCAAGTGTCTTATTTGCAAGTATTTGGATACTTTAAACTGTAAAAAAAATATTGCTTTTATTGAATAATTAGAAATTTGAATTATTGTGGAATAATTGGAAATATGATGATATTAAGAAATTGCTATTTTTTTTTTTTTTTTTTGAGACAGAGTCTCATTCTCTCACCTAGGCTGGAGTGCAGTAGCACTTATCTCGGCTCACTGCAACCTCCACCTCCGGGGTTGAAGCGATTCTCCTGCCTCAGCCTCCCAAGTAGCTGGGACTATGGGCATGCACCACCACGTCGGGGTAATTTCTGTATTTTTAGTAGAGATGCGGTTTCACCATGTTGGCCAGGCTGGTGTCGAACTCCTGACCTCAGGTGATCCACCCACCTTGGCCTCCCACCTGGGATTACAGGCATGAGCCACTGCGCCCAGCCAGGAATTGCTATTTTTTGTGTGATAATAGTATATTGAAAAAGGGAAAGCTTTATCTTTTAGAATAGGTAGTGACACACTTTGGAAAACAATGATAGAATGTCTAGATCTTCCTTCATAATAATGAGAAGAGAGGGAGAGTCAAGTGGGGGTGGATAATAGATAAAGCAAGATTGGCCACAAGTTGATAATTATTGTAGTTGTGTGGTGTATCCATGGGGGGCTCTCTATACTATTCTATTTTTTAATATTTGAAATCCTGCATAATACAAAGTTAAATAAAAAGTGGGTTTTATCCCTCTGCTCTCCCCCTTCTGCTTTAACAGTGCAGTAGCTGTCTTGTGATCATAAGGCAGCAAGTATGAAGTCAGGCATATGAGGCTATATGAGTTGACTGCATCCCCTAAAAGTTTATGTGTTGAAATCTTAATCCCCAATGCAACAGTGTTGGGAGATGGGGCCTACTGCTCTCATGAATGGATTAATATTATCATGGAAGTAGCTTAGTTATGACAGAGGGTTGTCATAAAAGGGAGTCCACCCCTCGTGCTCTGTCTCATGTGCTCATTTGCCCTTCTGCCATGTTATGACACAGCACAAAGGCCCTCACCAGATGCTGGTGTATGCTCTTGGAATTCCTAGCCTCTGTAACTGTGAGAAATAAATTTCCTTACTTTATAAATTACCCAGTCTGTGGTAGTCTGTTATACCAGCAGAAAACAGACTACGACATGAGGTCAATACCTGAAGGATGATAGAACTGAAAGGTGGGAAGAAGCTAAGTCCCTATGGTCTCATGGAGCTGCTGTGCCAGCCCTAGGATGCCTACTTCTGGAAATTTTATAAGAGACAGACAAACTTTCCTGTGTTTAAGCCACTCTTAGATGGGGTTTATTTGCAGGTAAGGCTGTTCATAAGTGATAGAGCTAAGATCCAAAATATGAAAAGGAGCTATCGAGGTGAAGAGTAAGCTAGATGACACCACAGTCAAAAGGGATAGGAATGAACTGGGAACGTGCAGAAGGCCCATGTGACTGGAGCATCATGAGGAAGATGAGTGGGGTGAGATCAGGTTAAGGCATAGGCAGAGGCTTGAAGGCTTGGGACATTGTGGTCCATGGTAAGCAGTTTGGATTTTATCCAAAGCGTTACAAGAAACTGCTGACAGTTATGAAGTAGACAGATGACAGGAATTGATTTATTTATGTTTAGAAAAATAACTCTGGCTGCTCCATAGAGAATGGACTGGGGCAGGGGCTAAAGGGAAAGCATAGAGAGACCAGAGAGGAGGCAGCTGTTCAGAGGAGAGATGATGGGAGATGCACAGAAGTGAACAGTTTTGAAATCTATTTTGAAAGTAAAATTAACAAATTATTAAATGAACGTGGAAGATTAAGAAAACGGAAAAGTCAAGGATGATTTCTTGTTTTCAGGTTTTAGCAACAAAATAGAAAAGGTAACCATCAAGTGTCAATTGGATATCCCAGTGACTATGTCAATTAGACAATTAATTATGTGAAACTGGAGATTATGAGAGGCCTGAACAATCAGTATACATTTGGAAGCCATCAGCATAATATTGTATTGATGATAGTGATAAGGAATATAAAGTCATTCGTGAGATACTCAGTAAACATTAGCTATCATTATTTTTATTTTTTTTTTAGAGACAGGGTCTCACTCTGTTGCTCACACTGGGGTGCAGTGGTGCCACTGCAGCCTCGAACTCCTGGGCCCAAGAGATCCTCCTGCCTCAGCATGTCAGGTGGCTGGGACTACAGGCACTCTATCATTATTTTAAAATGCTAAGTAAGTAAGGCTCATTTAATCCTAATTACAAACTTACAATGTTAGATGTTGTTATCCTCATTTTAAAGATGACAAAATTCAGGTACCCCAAGTTCACTAAGCTGCCTGGAATCATGCAACTAATTTAGGTGGTAGAGCTGGGATTTGAACCCAGATTAAGCTACTATTAGAGCCAGAGCTCTCATCACCATCCCAGACAGGCTGGTAGTTGGGGGTATCAGGCAAACATCCTGAATAGCTAGAGCACCCTCTGGCAGTTGGAGAAACACCAGCTTTCATAGATCACTTGTGGTCCTCTGGGTTGAAGCAGCTGAAGAAAACTCTGCCAGGATAAGCCTTCAGCTGCCATCCTTGCTGCGGCTCTGGAGAGGTCATACACGTGACTGCATCAAAGTCAATGCCACTGGTGAGCAACTGTTTTGTAACATAGTAACAAATTATGTTGCTAGGGTAGGAGAAGAACTTATTTTATTTCTTAGTGGCATTAAACAACGTTTATTACACTCCCTACTTTATGGGTCTGGAATTCAAACAGGGCTCAGAAGGAATAGCCCATGTCTGTTCCATGATGACTGGGATGACTGAGATGGCTCAAAAGGATATAAATGGTTGGAATGGTTTAACTGGGACCACATATCTGCTATGGTTTGAATGTGCCCCCCAATATTCTCATGTTGAAATCCTAACCCCCAGCGTAATGGTATTAGGATATAGAGCATTTGGGAGGTGATTAGGTCATAAGGGTAGAGCCCTTGTGAATGGGATTAGTGTCCTTATAGAAGAAACCCCAGAGAGATCCTGCTCCTTCCACCATGTGAGGACACAGGGAGAAGTCAGCAATCTGCAGCTTAGAAAGAAGAGGGCTGTCATCAAAACCTGATTATGCTGGCAACCTGATCTTCGACTTTCAGCCTCTGGAACTGTGAGCTTTTAAGCCACCCAATCTATGGTATTTTGTTATAGCACTCCGAATGAACTAAGGCAAATACGGAGGCCTTAATTCTGGCTATCAGTTAGGTTTCACAGTTTTCTTCACGTCATAGCTACTGAAGCTGAAATGTACAAGGTGGCTTCATGATTTCCATGCCTGGCATCTAGGTTGAAATGGCTGGGCAGCTCAGGCTAGCTGGTTATCATTCTCTCCACATGGTATCTCTGCTCAGGTAGCTTGGGCTTCCTCGTAGCATAGCAATTTCAGGATAGCCAGAATTACATGGTGGGCGGCTTCAAAAATGTATAGTCATACTGTTTAGATTAACCTATTTTATGGCATAAAAAATGTTACTGTGAAAACTGGTGCTGCAGTTTAGCCACTAAATTAATATTTGGGGATTTTTAAGAAGCAGCAACATAGAAGGGCTTTCCATTCTTTCATCCTAAAATTAGATTAAAAGCTGTATTGTGAAGCTACGCCAACTGCTGGCCAAGCCTAGTTCACAGCAGTCTGTACCTTCTTGCACTAGTTCTGCAGCTGTCTTCAGAGTTCTTGATCCAACTTGCCCGATCATACCATATCAGCCTGGGATGGGTGATGGCCTTGAAACTTTCCCTTCTTTGGCATGCACTACATTTTGTTAAGTAAAGTTCTCATTGGACCTATGAAGATCCAGAAAAATGTCCTCATCTTGTAAATACCTCTTTAAGCTCTACTCCTGGGAATTTATCTTAAGCCAAATTCAAAAAAATTCAAAAGAAGAAAAGTGGGGTGGCTGGGAGGAGAGAGAGAGAGAAAGAGAGAGAGAGTACAAGTAGCTTATGTATTAGGCAATAAGATAATGGGTTATACATTCAAGTTTTTTTATGTAGTGTAGTGATTATGAACATGAACTCCAGTGTTAGAATCACCCTGCATGAGTTCACATCCTGGTTGTGCCACTCACTTCCTAGCTGTGCAATGATTTGGGGCAAGTTACCTAATCTGTGCCTCAGTTTCCTCATCTTTAAAATAGTGATGATAACAGTATCTACCTTATGGGATTGTTTAGAAGACTAAGTGAGATAATCTGTGAAAAGCAATGTGAACAGTGGCTAGAAAACAATGCTGAATTAGTGGTAGTCATTAAATTATTGAAATAACATTTACTGGGACCTACTATGTGCCAGATGCTGAAGTGCTGGAAATAACAAGTTGAATAGACCATAATTTCTACTCTGGTGAGAAAGATAAGCATGGAGCATGCATGGGAAGTACAGAACAAAATGGAGACATGTACAAAGGTATCTAGGAGTGTGGATGTGGGAGCACCTCCCTTTTTCTGTGGAGGAGAGGAGATGCTTCCCATAGGAGGTGATGTTTACACTAAATGTTAAAGGGTAAGTAGGAGTTTGCCAACTAAATAGCAGAAGGAGGAGTGGGAGAGTTATTCTGGGCAGAGAATACACTACACTGTGTGCTTTTCAGGGAACACAAGAAATATACACTGGGGAGGGAATGCAGAGGACAGTGATGAGACTGAAAGTGTAGGCAAGAGCCCATATCCAAAGGGCTGTGTGAACCATTAGAAGCGGTTTGGCCTCTAATGGGTAGTTGGTTGGGAGTCATTGAAGAAACATGTTTTAGGCCTGGCTGCTATATGATGTGTAGCTGCTGCATGCTGTTTGACAGATTGATAGAAGACCACCAAAAAGCAAGGGCACCAGTAAGGAAACATTTGCAGTAATCTAGGTGAGAGAGTATGTTGTTCTGAAGTAAATCAGTGGCAGGAGAAACTTAGGCATAACTCAGGTTTCTGGCTTGGGTGTCTGAGCAGATGGAGGAAAGTGGTAAGTTAGAGGGAATGTCATATGATCTCTAAAATGATTATTATAAAGGCTTCATAACACTATGGGAAAATGTTCATGATCTAATGTTAACTGATGAAAGCACCCTAATCATGTTTGCACCATTATGACTACAAACCAAGCAAATATATTCAAAGATGAGGTGAGGAAGGGACAAAAAATAATCAAAATAGTTTGATTCTTAGGATATTAAGATTGTAGATAAAAATCTTCATGACTATATCTTATAACTTTGAAGAGAAAACTAGCATAGCAAAATTACAATGAAATATTGTTTGAAATTTTGCCTTTTAGATTTTCTTTAATTGTTTAACTTTTTAAATTAACAGCTTAATGGAGATATAATCCATGTAACATACAATTCACACATTTAAATGGTATTAACTCAATGGTTTTATTATATTCACAGAGTTTTGCAACCATCACCACAATCAATTTTAGAACATTTTCATTACCCCCAAAAGAAATTCCACATCCATTAGCAGTCATTCATCATTATTCCCTAGCCCCCAATGTGAGGCAAACACTACTTTCTGTCTCTATAGATTTGCCTATTCCAGACCTTTCATAAAAATGGAGTCATACAATGTGTGGTCTTTTGTGACTGGCTTCTTTTACTTAACATAGTGTTTTCAAGGTTCATCCATGTTGTAGCAGACATTGGTACTTCATTCCTTTCGTGGCTGAATTATATTCCACTGCATGAATATATATTTTATTTATCCATTTATCAGTTGATGGCTATTTGGGTTGTTTCCACTTTGGGGCTATCATACATAATGCTACTAAGAATATTTACGCACAAGTTTTTGGGAAGGTATGTTTTAACCACTCTTGGGTATATATTGACTTTTAAAGTATAAAAATGCAAAGGGGCATGAGGAAATTTGGGGAGCCATTGATATATTCTATATCATGATTGTGGTAGTAGTCATATATCTGTATACATTTGTCAAAACTCATTAAGCTGTACACTTATATTAATACATTAATTATATCTCAGTAAAACTGACCCCCAAAATAAATGATGGAATGGTAGGGAGACAGATTTAAAGGCATGTTAATATGTATAATGTTTCAGCACTATTATTTAATGCTTTTCCATATACCAATTATTTTCACATACATTATTACCTCCTTGAAACAACCAACCACCTAAACACTATGATCATTCTAATAACCCAGTGAGATAAGTAAGAAGGTATTATTATGTCCATTTTGGATATAAGGAATATAAATGTGGTATGAATGGCTTGCCCAATATCATAGAGCTGCCAAGTAGCAGAGGCAGAATTTCTCCCACCTTGCACCTCTATAGCGTTCAAATGCTTAATCAAATTTGCTTACTAAGGTTAAGGGACAAAGGAGCTACTTCTGTATATATTTTATATTTGGATAGCAGAATAAAGAAGTTTCCCCACATGCTGGCTCTTCCATGGCCTAGAATAAAAATGAAAAAAAGTGATAACTTAAATCCCCAAACTAGAACAGGACCTCTAAAATGCAAGAAAAATGTAAAATACCCCACTTTTGATTGTAATACTCTTTTAAGTTGCTCTAATACTTGAGCTTTGATATTACTTAATAGAGTGTCTTACTGTCTTTACCAGTTTCTGCTGGTCCTAAGCTGATGTGTGCTCAGACCCTTTGCCTGTCCTTACTGTACCCTGCTCTGTAAGGAAGGAGAGCTGACTCTTGCAGGCTGTGTTTTTCAGGGTCCAGTGACAGCTGTCTTCCAGTTGGCGTTAGCCAGTGAGAGAAGAGCATTGGTGAGAGAACAGCAAAGTTTTTCTCTCCTTCCCTCACTGCTTTGGACAGCATCTCCAACAGCTGCTACCCTTCTTCTGGAGTCTCTAGCACCTACAGGACATGTCTGCTCTGACTCTGCCTTCCTAACTCCTGGGCTCTGATTATATCACCTTTACCCCTTGCCTTGCCAGACCAACAGCTTCCTGCTGTTGCTAATGTCTGGGTTGCTGTCATCTAATTAGCTTGTCTGCTTCTTCCTTCATCACATTCCCTGTCCCCTGAATACCCAGGGTGGTTTCTGTTCTCCTGGCTGGACCTTGAATGACAGACCATTTATAATGTTGACTCAGGATGTTTATTAGTCTGTTCTCACACTGCTATAAAGAAATACCTGAGACTGGGTAATTTATAAAGAAAAGAGGTTTAACTGATTCATGGTTTCACAGGCTGTACAGGAAGCACGGTGGCATCAGCTTCTGGGGAAGCCTTAGGGAACTTAGTCATGGCGGAAGGTGAAGGGAGAGCCAGCACTTCACATGGCCAGAAAAGGAGGAAGAGAGAGAGAAGGGGAAGGTGCTACACACTTTCAAACAACCAGCTATCGTGAGAACTCACTATCATGACAACACCACCAAGGTGATGGTGCTAAACCATTCACGACGGATCCACCTCCATGATCCAATCACCTCCCACCAGGCCCCACCTCCAACATTGGGGATTACAATTCCTTATGAGATTTGGGTGGAGCCACAGATCCAAATATCAAGATTAAACCTACGAACATACCTGAAGATAGTTTTAAGGCTTTAACCACTTCACTTGGCATCCCTTTCTGGTCTAACCCTTAGGCACATTTAGATATGACATCCATTATTCTAATATGAGTGGGTATATTTGTGTCAGAAATGCAACTGTTAGAAAATGAAAATGTATTTTTCAAATAGGCTGAAGTGCAATCATCTAATAGCTGAAATAAGACATTTATAGGTCTGGAAACTTAAATAAGTATTTAGCTGGCCATTTTCTCTTGTACAATTTTTCATGTTAAATTAGTATAGTAAGAGATTTATTAGTTGCTCACAAACTGTTCAGTGTGGTCAGCTGAGGGTTTCTGCACCATGCAGTTATTTAGGGACCTTATGTGTTGACATCTAGCTAGCAGATGAGGAGCAAAAGAGAGCATAGAGGTTTGTGTGGGATGTTTTTGGGACCAGGTCTGGAAGTATCATACATCAACCTTTCCCACATCTAATTGGCCAGAACTCAATCACATGGTCCTTAATTGTAGGAGAGGCTGAGAAGTGTAGTTCAAATGCCTAGGAGGGAAAAGAAATGATTTTGGAAAACATATGGCCAGTCTCTACCACAGCTTGCCCTTTTGGTCAATAAATTATTATTTTATTCTTCCTCTCATAAATAGAGTACACTCCCCCACCAAACTCCCCTGGAGATTATTCCCAGTTGTTGTGTTCAGCTAAAAGCCCTGGGATGCATGTCCATCTGGTATAGATATGGTTCTTTCTGGTTGAGTAATTTATAAACTAAAAAGAAGAGCTTTCTACCTCCTGCTCCTTTCCCATCACCAAATATACAATGGTAAGCAGAGACAAAGAACTGCAGTGTCTCATTTGGAAAGGGGAAAGATCAAAGACACAAAGCCATCACTTGTCTAGAGCAGTCTGGTAGGCATTGTGAAGTTTCCTTGACCAAGAAGCATTAGGAAATTTACTTGGACTGTTTCTGTTCTATGGCAGAAATTATTTTGCCCATTTTTCTGTGGTCCCTGGCTCCACTCTTTCGGAATTCTCTTCATTGCCATTATCCTCTGTGGTGATATCCGAAGTGGGTGATAGGGAGTAAGCTATCTATGGGATATGTAGATTTTGGAGTCAACTTCCTTCTCATGGAAAGCTGAGAGCCCAAGGGTGGTGGTTGTTTTATGCCTTGACTATTCTTTGTCCCAGACTTACATTTTCTTTGGAAATAAAATTTCCTCAGAAACTTAACAGGCTTCTCATTGACTTTTTTCTAGACATCCTGTGCCACAAACAACATCCCAAATACTTTCCTGACATAGCTCTTCATCTTCTTTATGTCTTTTTTCCCATGCCTCTCCCAAGAGACAGCCTACCTACTGGCAGCCACCTTGATTCTGTTAGGACTGAGTGGGAAGGCCACAACTTTAATGTGATCTTTGCCCTAAGGCAGTGACCTAGCAGACCTTGGTTTCTCAGAGTTTGCCCAATCTTATTTCCTTCTATTTGGGATCTAGAAGTAGTAGTCTACTTTAAGACTCCAAATTTATGTAATTTTCTTATTTTCTTTCATTTATCTTTGTACACTGCCTATACTGGCCAGCCAGTAGTAGCCAATACACACTAACAGTTTGGTTCTTTCCAACTGCTTCTCTTGGAGCTGACATTAGTAAACATATGGCCCATCTATTAAGTTACTATAAGCGAGAATTTTTGCCAAATGTTTTACTGCTGCATAGCATGGATTGCTGCCTTTGCTGCCTCTGGCATTAGTTTCCTTTCTTCCCACAACTGGTATGCTAAGCCAGTGGCATCTATTTTAGGTTTTTGTTTTAGGAGCAACCTACTTCAAGGTCCCATTTGTGGTTTTAGTCATAATAGTAGTGCTAGTTGTATAAAAACAATCTCCATATCTCAGTGGCTTAACACAATACACACATAAAGTTCAGTTCCCACTCTACTGTCCAATGTAGGGGGGTGGGGTGGAGAGAGGGACCTCTGCTCCCTGCAGTCAAGCAGAGACTAAGCTAACAGAGGCCCCACCATCTTTAATGCATGACTCCTAAGGTTCACCAACATGCAGCCAGCAGCTGGGAGAGGACAGAGAACATGATCATATGGCATGTTTCAGGAGCCAGGCCTGTGAGTAGCATATCACTTCTGTATACTTGCTAGAGTCTATCACGTGGCACTACTAACATCATGGGAGAATGGGAAATTTAATTTTATGTCCGAGAAGAAAATGAAATAGGTTTGATGAAAACACAGCAGTCTCTGCCACAGATACTATTAATTGGCTTGCTCAATTTCCATTTCACCTTTCTAGTATTCATTTCTATACTTCCAAGGCTGGGAAGCTAAAACTTACTATTAGGCTCCTTGCCACTAGAGTTCTGGGGGCTAAGTTGGGTCTGCTAATTCGGTTCTGCCAGTTACCCAAATGAAATCTGGAGGGAGGAAATGAGGCAAAGGCCATCTTACCCTCTGGCTGCTTTCTACTGGTAAATGCATTATAAAAAGCAGAGAATTTTTTCTGCAGCACAACCTCCAGTGTCCATTTTTCAGCTTTCTGGGTATCAAGATTTAGTGGCAATTGCAGTGGCTTTGTGATTTCCAATATTTAGCTCACAGATACAATGGAGTGTTCTTGAATTCAGTTGTCTTGGCCTCCCATGTAGAGATCCCCCATGTGGTCAATTAGGTAAGGGCTCTGGAAGTGATTTCTGGAAACTCCACTGAGAGCCTAGTCTTTCAGTCCTTCTAATAAAATATATATTTTTTATTTCCTACTTCTATTTATGTATTTATTTTTATTTCTGTGTTTATAGTGATGCAATTAACATCCATAATTAACATCCATGAACCCACCTTGAACTCAATAACCAAAACATGGCCAATAACTTATGTATGTCCTGTCTATGTGCTCTTCCTTCAGCCCATCTCCCTACCCTACCTCAAAGATAAGCCAATATTGAGTTCCCTTTCTTTTACTCTACAGTTTTATCTTATATGTATGTAATCCTAAACAAAATATTGTTTAAATTTTGTTTCTGTACTTTACAAAGACGGTATCATACTATGCCATCTTCTGGGATTTGTCTTTTTCATTCACTATTATTCAGATCCATTCTTGTGTCCATGGTGTTGCATATAGCTGAAATTCATTTATTTTTACTACAGTATAATATTCCATTACACAAACAAACCATAATTCTTACCCCAATATGTGGTTAATCAGCATTTATCCGAGTGTTGTGTTATCAACAATGCTTCTGTGAACATTATTGGAAATAGGTTCTATGCATGTATAAAAGTCACTTTTAGTATACAGGAGTGCAGCTGCTGTATCCCAAGATATGTGAAAGTTCAATATTATAAGCTCATGTCGCCAGGCATGGTGGCTCACACCTGTAATCCCAGCAGTCTGGGAGGCCGAGGCGGGCGGATCATGAGATCAGAAGTTCAAGACCAGCCTGACTAACATGGTGAAACCCCGTCTCTACTAAAAATACAAAAATTAGCTGGGCATGGTGGTGCATGCCTGTAATCCCAGTTACTCAGGATGCTGAGGCAGGAGAATTTCTTGAACCCAGGAGGCAGAGGTTTGCAGTGAGCCGAGATTGTGCCACTGCACTCCAGCCTGTGAGACAGAGCAAGACTCTGCCTCCAAAAAAAAAAAAGATCATGTCAAATGATTTCTAAAATGAATTTTACAATCTCACTCTGCCAGAACTCCACTGCTAGATATCTCAGTTGCTGCCCCCTACCTGCTGTGGGGTCAGCTTTCATTTGTTAACTTAGGAGCATTGCTAGAGACCTTTCCAACCTTTCTTGAGATAAGGAATTCTTCACAGTGTGTTGTATCTGGGATCTAGTTGTTGTGGGGTGCCAGTGTCCACACATTGCTCCTAGTTACTCAAAATATTGAAAGCAGAATTCCCCCAACATTAATAAGAGGAATTGTATGCAAATAATTCAATGTATTAAGTCAATGTAACAATTCAGTGTGTTAATATCTGCAGTGGTCTCTACTTCCTGATCCCTGACTGACAGAAATGGCAAGAACTCTAAGCTTGGTGCAGATGACATGCCTTACCTTAGTCACTTAAAAAGTGGCTGCTTTGGGCAAGTACCTTAACTCCCCTGAGTCTCAGTTTCCTGATTTCTTTTTTTTTTTTTGAGACAGAGTCTCGCTCTGTCACCCAGACTAAAGTGCAGTGGTGTGATCTCGGCTCACTGCAACCTCCGCCTCCCAGGTTGAAGAGATTCTCCTGCCTCAGCCTCCCAAGTAGCTGGGATTACAGGCATGCACCACCACACTTGGCTAATTTTTGTACTTTTAGTGGAAAAGGGGTTTCGCCATGTTGGTCAGGCTGATCTGGAACTCCTGGCCTCAAGTAATCTACCCACCTCGACCTCCCAAAGTGCTGGGATTACAGGCATGCACCACCACACCCAACTAATTTTTGTATTTTTAGTAGAGAAGGGTTTCGCCATGTTGGTCAGGCTGCTCTGGAACTCCTGGCCTCAAGTGATCCACCCACCTCGGCCTCCCACAGTGCTGGTATTACAGGCATGGGGCATTGCACCCAGCCAGTTTCCTGATTTTTAAGTTGAAGAAAAACACAAGTACCCTCCCTACCTGTGAGGTGTATAAGGAAATAAACAAATCATTGTACAGCATAGAATCTCTGTGAACAATGAAAATATATACTGCGTGCCTTCTGTCTGCAACACACTATGTTACGTATTTAATGATGTTATTTCGTTTAATGATCACAACAGTCTTACGAGGTAAGTTCTACTGTTATCCTTATTTTACAAATGAGAAAATTAAGAGCTTAAAATGGTTAAGGTACTTGTATAAGGTCACATGGCTAGTAAGTGGCAGAGCCAGAACTGAAACTCAAGGCAGTCTCACTCACAGATTTGCTGTATTATTCAGTTCCCAGCCAATTTCACGTCTGCCACCTCATGGGACACCCTGAGCCAGCACCACCCAGTTACAACACTGTGAAATAATTGATTTTTATTGTCATGTTAAACCACGAAGTTTTTTATTTGTTTATAAATTATTATTTTTTTTAGAGACAGGGTCTCACTCTCTCACCCAGGCTGGAATGCAGTGGTGTGTTCATAGCTCACTGCAGCCTCCTATCTCCCGGGCTCAAGTGATCCTCCCACCTCAGCCCCACAAGTACCTGGAACCACAAGTGTGTCCCACCACACCTGGCTAATATTTTATTTTTTGTAGAGACAGGGTCTTGCTATGTTTCTAGGCTGGTGAAACCACTAAGTTTATAGGTAATTTGTTGCACAGCAGTAGGTATTGATAAAAGTTCATAACTAATTTATACCACTTAAACATTGCGCTGGTAAAAAAAAATTTCCTTGGCCTGAATTCAGGTTGCCAGTTTATAATATCTATAGAGAGAATGCCACCCAAAATATGCTACTGTGGTATAGGGATTCATTTTGAGCTGCAGGCAGTTGAGAAAAAAAGCAGACAAGAAAAACTCTCTGCCCTGACCTGCTCTACCAAGTAGGGCAGGATATACTTAATCACCAAACTCTAGACTCTTAGCAGCCCAGAATGGCACCAGAGAAATCTATATTACAAACCTTGCTACAACAACTTTCATCTTCCATTAGTTTTCCCATATATTCTCCTTCGCACAATTTGTTCCCCTAGGAACTGCAAGCCCCTTTCCTTTGTCTTGTCACTTCTCTATAGGTTTATTGTTCTTTTGTGAAGATGCTAGATAAGCACCAAGTTCTAACCACCCCTTTGAGTTACTCATCACTGATGAGTGTTAATAAATAAATGTGTAAATAAATTTGTTTTTCTCTTGTTAATCTGTCTTTTGTCAGTCTAATTTGCAGGGCCCCAGCCAATGAACCTAAAATTGTAGAGGAAAAAAGGGTTTTTTTCTTACCTAAACTTGCTTTGAATTGAATTTTTTTTTTGTTTGTTTGTTTTTTTTTTTGACACAGAGTCTCGCTCTGCCGCCCAGGCTGGAGTGCAGTGGTGCGATCTCGGCTCACTGCAAGCTCCACCTCCAAGAGGAAAACTGATTCAATAAACTGAATTATTTTTTCAGATTCAGTTAGACTTGTGTTCACATATGTCTCTACCACTTACTGGTTATGGGACCTTGGAAAATTTACTTAACAATTTCCTCACCTGTAAAAGGGGAATAACAGTAAAAGTACTCAGGAAAATCTGTGAAATACTTTGAAAAGAGAACGAAAAAAAGATTAGTGGATGTCCTATCTAGCTTATACTTCTGGATTATCTCTGCATTGCATTGTCTTTGAGCTACTTTATGACTCTATAAATTGCAAAAAACAGAGTAATACAAATAGTTCTTATTCAAAGGAATGCAAATTGTGGGGGCCCAACCCTGTAATCCCAGTCACTCAGGAGGCTTAGGTGGGTGGATTCCTTAAATCCAGGTGTTAGAGACCAGCCTGGGCAACAGGGTGAGAGACCTCATCTCTAAAACAAATAAAAATAACCCACAAAGAACTAGTGGTATACCATTGATTATTGTCCTATGGCTATCAGTTTTGTAACCATAAAGTAAATTCATTTTAGCATTCCTGATGGGTTACTTTATTTGTCTGCTCTTTGGATCCTCATTTAAACTGACTGTAATATCTTACTGATTTAGTCATTGACATAAAATCATAGACACATGCTTATTTTATATTTGTGTGTGAATCAAGATTCCTCTTAAAAAACTTATCCTTCAACATACTTCAGAGTGTTATTATGATTAAATTAATCAATGTATGTAAAGCAATTAATACAGTGCCTGGTACATAGTGTTCAATAATGTTAGCTAACTTATAAGAAAGGAAGAAGGTAATGAAGAAGTGATAATGTTAGGTAAGACAAGTTAGGTAAGACAAAGGTCCATTAGTCTACCTATCCTACTCATTCCTGTTTTCCCAAAACAGATATTCAGAGATAAGTTTTGTTAATCAACAGAACAGCAATCAAAATTCTAACAACACAGCTATTACACAAGAACAAGATCTCAGAAAAATCAGCTAACCTCTTGGATCCCAATGAGAATAATAATATTCACTTCAGTAGTTGCTTCGGAGGCTTGCTGAAGTAAGGTATGTGAAATGGGGGTCTGTGAATGAGCTGGAAGAATTATTGTCCTCCAAACAGATTTAGGAAGCATACATCTGAGTGTCTGTTCAAATTCTATGCCTTCTGGCAGGTGGCTGAAATGCCTTAGTGGGCCAGGTGTAAGAAACAGGCAGCTCTAGCCATCTATTTTTATTTTAGGTAGAGATCAAATACTTGATAGAGATAGAATATTTTTCTATTACAAGAAAAACAATAGAAAAACATGATGATAGATGGAAACAAATACTCTAGCTTAGAATCAGAGAAGGAGCATAGAATGGGATGGTGTACTGGGAGGGAGCAGCTCTGGTTAATTGTTGCCACCTAAGAATTCAGGTCCAGAATTTTAAAAGAGCGGCAAGAAACCTTAATTATTAGTGATATTTATATGAGCTCAAGCAAGTTAGTAAACATACATGGTAACCAATCCACATTTATCATCCCTTTGTGACCTCTCTCTTAGGCCATTTTCTTGTATATGTTCTTTGGGTGGCAACTACTTGTTGGTGACACTCATCACGAGTTGCTTATCACTGAAGCCATTTTTTACTGGCATGAATAGAAGATGAATGCCAGAGAACTGTGTGGTCATTTTTGTTAATCTGGCTGGAGTTGTTAGTATTTAATAAAGAGAACATGTAAGAAATATTTGTAGTTCTGAGTCAAAGACATTGATACTTTGTTTTGTCCATCACAGGTTGCTTTGCCATCACAATCTGTAAATGTGGTGAGAAAGGGTTCTAAATATGTCCATCCTTTTAGGAAACTTTGAAATATAGTAAAAAATAAATAACTTTGAAGTAATATACACATGGATTTGAACCTCAGTACTCTGTTGTTTAAGCAGTAACTTCTGTTGTTTAAGCAGTAACTGACCAGGGATAATCAATGTCCCTGATCCTCAGTTTCCTCACTTATAAAAAGAGAATTAACAGCTGCTCAAGGAATCAACCTGCTTTTATCTTCCTGCTCTGCCATCTTTAATGTGGAACTTCCAGTTCTTTGATAAGAAGGTGGCTGTTGCATCTACAAGCATTGCTTCTGAGCTCTAGGCAGGAAGAAGGGAGAAGAGTGAAGGTTAAATGACATAGGTCAGGTGAGTGTGCTTTCCTTATCAAAATTCAGTAGCTTTCTTAGAAGTCACACCTAGTAGACTTCTGCTTATCAGCCATACTATCCATCATTGGTTGCAAGGGAACTTGGGAAATTAGGATTTTTTTTTAGCTGGGTACACTTCCATTCACCTGGATGGCAGAGTTTTAATACTATCAATGAGAGATTGGCTACTGGGCAAAAAACAAAGAAAAACAACCAGCAGTATCTGTCACAGGGCTCAATAATCCAAAATATTATTTATATGATGACTTCTATCTCAGCTAGTCTCTCTCCCTTGTCATAATATTCAAAATGCTGGGCATATAATGTGTGTGTGTGTGTGTGTGTGTGTGTGTGTGTGTGCACATGCATGCACATCCAATCTGGTTTCTTGCCCATTTAGCTGGTACATCAGAAGTATATTCTTCCTAGGTAATCTTCATAAAAAGTTAAAAATTAAAAAAAAAAGAGAAAGGATTTTTTTATATAATATGCTAAGAAAGTAATTTTGGGTTTTCTTTATGCTGAAGATTGCTACAATAACAATAATCATTTTCATATCATAATAACTAAAAATTTACTGATAATTTACTATGTGCCAGACATTGTACAAAATATTCACTATGTTCATCATGAAAACTCCATAATGTAGACTCATAATCCCTACCCTACTAATAGGGAACTGATGCTCAGAGAAGTTAATGTACTTAAGATTACATAGCAACTATACAGTGAAGCCAATATTTGAATTTGGATCTGTCTGATAGCAAAACTCCTGCTCTTGGTCACCATATTATACCAACAGCTTGCAAGATGCCTAACACCTACTTCTGAGGACTCTTTCCACACTTTATTCTAAATTTCAAATCTTGGTCTCACTATTTGACCTATACCACAATAATAATTGTTGTAGGTAAGAATCATCAATGAATTCTAAAACTAGTGGGAAAAGTAGGATGAGAAACAGATTATATGCATATTTTCAAAGTATCTCCACACATGATACTTATTAATTACAAAGAGAATAAGAGTAACTTTACAGTGGAGAAATCAGGCACACATCACCATAACCAAGTAATGAACCTTAACATCACTAGTAATGAGACATACCAACATCATGTGATTCCGGAAATGATGCGCTGAGAAGGGCACGGCATCACTTAACATGGTATTCTTATAGAAAATGTGTAACCTGAATTTAATTGTGAGGACACCAGACACACCCACCTTAAGGGACATTCTACAAAACAACTAGTTAGGTCTGTCTTCAAGGGTCAGTGTCATGAAAGGCAAAGAATAAATGAGGGAATGTCTTAGAAAGAGACTAAGAAAATGTGACCACTAAGCGCAATACATAATCCTGGATTGGATCTAGGTCCATAAAAAGAACACTAGTGTGACAATTAGTAAAATTTTAGTAAGGCCTGTATATTAGTTAATAGTGTGATATCGAAGTTAACTTCCTGGTTTTTATAATTGTACTATTATGTAGGGTGAAAAATATATGATAACTGTTTTATGCTTTCTTTGCTGATGGGTTTTTTTGCATCTTTTTTGTAAGTCTGAAATTATTTCAAAATAAAAAGATAAAAAAACTTATCTCCTAGTTGACTTGTTTACTTATTAAAATTATGTCTGAACTAAAAGTAAATGGACTCTAAGTGTATCTCCAGCAGCTTTCTCATCTGCTCTGCATTTTGTGTTCTATCTCCCTCTAATAGGGTGCCATGTTCAATGGTGGCAGATCTGAGAGACAGCTATTTACACCCTAGATAGCATACATTTGTATGTTCATTATGCAAAGTTTCTGGAAAATGAAAGAAAAATGTTTTGTTCTAATAAAATTAATATATTATGACAGTTTGCTGTCATGTGAAAGTAATGTCTTGGGAAGAAGCTTTAAAAAATTGACATAAAAGAATTGTATGGGCTAGCAGTGGCCCTGCATTCTATCCCTTCCAAAGCCACCACCGAGGTACAACCTCTACTCCTCTAGATTAGATCTAGTCACATACTATCTCCTGGCAAGAAGAAATTTCCTCATCCCTCCTTCAGCAACGGAATGGAAACCTTCTCTCAGGATTTAAAAATATCCTGAGGAGTTACATCCCCAGGTTGGCTGTTGAAAGACAACATTGACCAGCCAATATGTAAAGAGGAAATGCAGCAGTAGCTATTGTTAGACCTCAGAGTTGTAATATAAATAATTCTAAAACTTTCCCCCAAGTGTCCTGAACAGCAGGGGAGAATTATATCAGGTAGGATGCTTTGGGCTGCAAGTAACAGAAAACTCAGCTCAAACTAGCTTAAACAATGAAGTTTACTAACAGACCATCCAGAGCTCAGAAGGGTTCCAGGCCCAATGCTATAAGGGCTCCATTCCATTTCTTTGATATTCTCTTGGGTGTATCAGGTTTGTCTCCACATTAAGGCCCTAACTGGTAAGCAAGGGCTTTCAGCAGCAAATAGGTACACACGTTTCTTTGTTCATATACTACAGAAGAAAAAACCTTTTACCTAACCATACTACAGAAACCTTTCCCTTCAGTCTGACTGGGTCAACTTAAGTCACATGCCCACGCCTCTACCAATAACACTCCCCAGGGGAAACTCATATATGAAATAAATGAAGTCTGAGTTTCAAAACCAGTCACTGGTAAGGTGGTGGGATTACCATGAGTGGTTAAGAGTAAGCAAGGTACATTCCTAAAGCTGGCGATGAGGTTAAATTCCTTTGAGTCACAGGCCTTGTGAAGGAAGAGTGGACACCTAAAGAAAACCAGGGCTTTGTCAGGGAAAGGAATGAGAGCAATGGAAGCTGAGGAAGTGAATTCCCACCTCTGTCAATCTGGAGTGTTGGTCCAACAGAACCCTCTACCAGCAGAATTATTCCTTTGATATCTCTCTTTTTAAAAAAGGGTTATACCACTGTGGGAAACAGTAGGTAGTTTCCTCAAAAAATTAAAAATAAACCACCATATGATTGGGTAATTCCATCTCCGAATATATATCCAAAATAATTAAAAGCAGAATTTCAGAGATATTTCCACACTCATGTTCATAACAGCATTATTCATGACAGTGAAGAGGTGGAAGCAGCCCAACTGTAAAACAGGTGAATGGATAGAAAAATGTGGAAGATACACACAATGGAATATTATAAAACAGAAGGAAATCTTGTCATGTGCTACAACATGGATGAGTCCAGAGGTAATTTTGCTAAGTGAATTAAGCTAAGTGATTTAAGAAGACAATCATTGTGAGTCCATTTATATGAAGTACACTCACAGAAGCAGAAAGTAGAATGGTTATTACCAGAGGCCAGCCAGGGAAGTGGCTGGTAGGTGGAGAAGTGGAAGTGGAGACTTATTATTTCATGGGTATAATGGATTTGCAAGATGAAAAAGTTCTGGAGATCTGTTCTACAATGATGTGTATATGCTTAACACTACTGAACTGTACACTTAAAAATGGTTAAGGTGGTAAATTTTATGTTGTGTCTTCTTAATCACAATGAAATTTTAATATGGAAAAAGAAGTTATAAAAGCCCCTTTATAAATCAATTTTAAACCTAAAAAATGTTTCCAATAAAAAAAGGAAACGATACAGAAAAGGAATAAAACTCATTTCAAATAATGCAAAAAGAGAAAAAATAAGGAAAACAATGCCAAAATATTGAACAAGAAAGAGTTTCTTGTTTTATTATCTAAAATACAATTGAAGGATAGACAAAATAGAGCAGGAGTGAAGATACACAGTTCTAGAATCCTTCAGTGAAAGCAAGGCAAGGTTTTGTTTGTTTTCTTATGTAATCATACAGACATTGCTTTCTTTTGTGTACCTACAAAAGATGTAAAATTAAGTATCACAAAAGACCCTACACAGTTCTCTCCACACAGGTTGTATCTATAATTCACAAATATATCCACAAAATAGTTTTCAACCACATTTAATTTTTAAAATTATTTTCCTGGTTTATCATAAAAATTCATACACATTTCTATTTCATAATATATCAGAATTGGGTCTATTTTAGATGAATCTCTGCTTCCAATTTTGTGAAAAATTTGTGAGCCTGAGAAGATATTTATTTATTTATTTTTTGAGACGGAGTTTCGCTCTGTCACCCAGGCTGGAGTGCAGTGGCGTGATCTCGGCTTACTGCAAGCTCCGCCTCCCGGGTTCCTGCCATTCTCCTGCCTCAGCCTCCCAAGTAACTGGGACTACAGGCTCCCACCACCACGCCTGGCTAATTTTTTGTATTTTTAGTAGAGACAGGGTTTCACTGTATTAGCCAGGATGGTCTTGATCTCCTGACCTCGTGATCCGCCTGCCTCGGCCTCCCAAAGTGCTGGGATTACAGGCGTGAGCCACTGCGCCCAGCAAGAAGATACTTATTATCTTGTATCCAGAAACTCCTGGCACTTAGCCACATACACCAATGCTAATTTGAGAGGCAAAGCACAGGAATGAATTTTCTGGAAGACAATTCTTTCTGTATACAACAATAGGGAACTGGTTAAGTAAATAATGTAGCCACATGAACGATTATTACCCATTAAAAAGGATTATGAAGAGTCTATTTATTAAATGGGGGAAATAATAAGTAAAAAGGAAGAAACAGAATACTACATAAATACTGTTTGAACATGACTATAAAAGAAACAGGCCGGGTGCCATGGCTAATGCCTATAATCTCGTACTTTGGGAGGTCAAGGTGGGTGGATCACCTAAGGTCAGGAGTTCCAGACCAGCCTGACCAACATGGTGAAACGCTGTCTCTACTAAAAATACAAAAATTAGCCAGGCATGGTGGTGCCCACCTGTCATCTCAGCTATTGGGGAGGCTGAGGCATGAGAATCACTTGAACCTGGGAGGCAGAGGTTGCAGTGAGCTGAGATCATGCCACTGCACTCTGGCCTGGGCAACAGAGGGAGACTTCATCTTAAAAAAGAAGAAGAAAAAAGGAAACAGACAATATTAACAATAGTCAATATTTGAAAATATATATAGGAGGGACCAATGCGGTGGCTTACACCTGTAATCCAAGCACTTTGGGAGGCCGAGGCTGGCAGACCATGAGGTCAGGAGATCGAGACCATCCTGGCTAACACGGTGAAACCCCTTCTCTACTAAAAATACAAAAAATTAGTAATACTAGCTACTTGGGAGGCTGAGGCAGGAGAATCGCTTGAACCCAGGAGGTGGAGGTTGCAGTGAGTTGAGATTGCACCACTGCACTCCAGCCTTGGTGACAGAGCGAGACTCTGTCTCAAAAAGACAAAAAAAAAAAAAAAAAAAAGTAGGAAAAGACTCCAAAAGAAATATATTTAATAGATCAAAATATTAACAGTGGTAGTCTTTGGGTGGTGTGTCTTTGGAGAGTTATTCTTTCTACCTTTGCTTTGTTTTTTGTCATACCCCATAACAAATCTAAAATGTTTACTGAGAGAAAAAAATGGACTGGGGTAAACAAAATACTGTGGGTCCAAAGGCTCACTTATGAAAACCTCAACTTTATTACTTCTCTTTTGGCTGTTCAGAGGACCCACATCACCTCCTCCATCCTGCATTTTTTATTTTTAATGTGTTTTTATTAGTTGAGGTCAATATAAAAATACTACTGTAAACAAAAATAAAGACAGATTTAAAATTAAGTGGCTCTGTTTTCTCAATGACTTGACTCCTTTGCTATTTAAAATTTTGTTTCTGAGTAAGAACAAATTCATATTATACTGCAAAAAAGTTAATTTAGAACAAAATGAGCTTCTTGATTGTTTGAAACAGTATTAAAATAAGTCTTCTACCTGGAAATATGAAAATTATTGTTCAAAGGGATATACAGTAGACGCTTAAACAACATGAGTTTGAATTGTTTGGGTCCACTTATATGTGGATTTTATTCCATCTCTGCTGCCCCTGGGACAGCAAGACCAACCTCTCCTCCTCCTCCTCCTCTTCAGCTTGCTCGGTGTAAAGATGATGAAGGTGAAGACCTTTATGATGATCCAGTTCCACTTAATAAATAGTAAATACATTTCTTCCTTGTGATTTTCTTAATATTTTATTTTCTCTAGCTTACTTTATTGTAAGAATACAGTATATATTTTGTACGTTTGTATATATACAACATACAAGATATGTATTAATCAAGTGTTTATGTTATCAGTAAGGCAGTCAACAGTAGGCTATTAGTAGTTAAATTTTGGGGGAGTCAAAAGTTTTGTGTGGATTTTTGACTGTGTAGGGGGTTGGCGCCCCTAACCCCTGTGCAAGTATTAATATTACAATTTGAGAAGGTGCCTAAACTTCTTCCATTTAAGTGCTCTTTAATAGTGCTGTCATTGTGCTTCTGGCAAGCACATCTTTACATAACCATGAACTATGTGGAAATTCCAAGATCAGAATAATTTAGATTCTGTCCTTCGGAAACACTGCATTTATCTCGTGTAAGATGATTGAATGTCCTGCTGTAGATGAGACAGCTCTAGGTTTGAACTGCAAACCCGAAGACTCAAGTGTGTGTATCTTGCCCAACCGTGATCTCAATCAGAGTGGTCACAGGGCAGCTCTCAGCTAGAATCTGCAGCTGCTGCTTTTCCCTGTCTAGGAGCACCTGCCCAGCGACAGCTGGAGCTCAACCTTCACATGAGTTTTCTATTTAGGTAGTGTGCATAACTGAAGGAGTGATTTTGAATTTTAGTTCTGCCTCATACTACTGTGGGGGCATTGGATTAATTTTTGTGGCAGGAAGGTGTATTGAGATAAATAATTCTTCATATTCTCCATATCCTGTGCTCACTACCTTTTTTCTAGGCGAGACTCTTGGTATTTTCTTCCCCCAAGGTTTTTTTGCACAAGGAAAGCAGAAGTTATCATGGAGAAGCTTTTATTATGTAATGGTTCAAACTCTTCTAGATTCTGCTAGGTGTTCCCAGAAGAGGAGAAAGACACGTTGAGAGCAACAAGAAGGATGAGACAAATACCTCCCTATCACTAAAAAGGGGGTGTGTGAGGATGACAGGATTCCTGTGATCTTGAATACCCTTGGTATAGTGGCCAGAAGAGAAAGCTCAGACAGGAGGGCTATGTGTTGAGGTATAGCTTGAGATACTGTGTTCTCCTAACCTCTCAAATATTTTTGGCATTGTAGGTCAGACAGAAGCCATGGAGCAGCCCCATCTAGAGTAAGCTTTTCTGGGCATCCCGCAGATACTCATGCAGACGGAAGAGAGATGACAGGACAGGCACTCTCCATGCTTTGGCACATTGGGCAAGATCCTAGAATCCTGAGTCATGTCTTGTGAGGGAAGCCCTCAAATGGCTGAGATGTCATTTCCTGCCATTCCAATGTAATCATGCTAGTAGTTGATTTTAATTAAACTTAAGAAAATAAAATATCTGTACATTTCTTACACATTTGAATTTGTATGTATTTCTGCTATGCTTGTTTGAGCCTCTATTTTTTCATCTTATCCTGTAGATAAAAACACTTGCCTCATAGGTCATTGTGAGGCTTAAGTGAGGTAGCATGTAAGTTCCTGGGATGGTGCTTAGGCATATTTAGTAGAAGCTCAGTTGTTTATTCTTTTTTTTTTTTTTTTTTTGAGAGACAGAGTCTCGCTCTGTTGCCCACGCAACAGTGCAGTGGCACGATCTCAGCTCACTGCAACCTCTGCCTCCTGGGTTTAAGCGTTTCTGGTGCTCCATCCTCCAGAGTAGCTGGGATTACAGGTGCCCGCCACCTCGCCTGACTAATTTTTGTATTTTTAGTAGAGACAGGGTCTCACCATGTTGGCCAGGCTGGTCTTGAACTCCTGACCTCAAGTGATCCACCTGCCTTGGCCTCCCAAAGTGTTGGGATTACAGGCGTGAGCCACTGTGCCCAGGCTTTTCTATCATTCTCTCTGCAAGATGGGACTGGCAGGACAAACGGCAGAAGCTGGTATCGGGGCTTATAGCTGGCCTTGGGCTAGGGAAGGATGAGGGGCAACATTTTCATAGTAATAATAATGATAACTACCACTTCTTAAGAACCTATCAGTGGTTTTTAAACTGCCCTGCAGAGTTCTAGGATTCCATGGAGGGTCTCAGGAGCTGCAGTGAACAGAGGGGAGACCAGCGGTTCATGTTCAGGGCTGCCTCCTCTGCTTCAAGCAGATCAGTTTTGCTCTTACCTAATATATTGATCCTCTACATAACATTTTGTTTGAAAAGTAGTATATCTGTTAAAAATGTTTGAACACTTCTACAGAAGTATTGGATCAAGTTGATAATATAAACAAATACATATTTGCCCAGGTTTCTTCCTTTCCAAGCTTGGGCAAAGCAGATATGGGGACCAAGAGGCAGTCCCGAATCAATATTCAGTGTGATTTTTGTAATGTTACAATAGTAGGAACAATTAGGCTGTTCCTCCCTTCATCCTTCCACTTGTGCTATGCAGCAAGCAGCAAAAGCAATACCCGGTGAATGAGAACACTTGTGTATTACAAGCCGGGAGTACTCAGTGGGCATATACCACCAAAAGAAAGTGGGGGTTCCCATGCCCAGAAGATGAGCTGATGACCCCCTTAGCTTGGTGGTATGTCCTACCTCGCCTCTGTAACCACAGGAAGCAGAACACAATACACAGATAAGCACTCACAGACAGACAGACAGGCAGATCAGCAGGTACTAAAAATGTAAACCTAAGGACGCAACCAAGAATCACCACAAATTTGATGAAAATTGCAGAGGAGTTCCAGAAGGAGAGAATGGTGGGAATGGACAAGAGAGGGAATATACGAAGAATAACAGAATAAAATACTTTTTTTTTTTTGATACAGAGTCTTACTTGTCACCCAGGCTGGAGTGCAGTGGCACAATCTCGGCTCACTGCAACCTCCACCTCCTGGGTTCAAGCCATTCTTCTGCCCCACTCCCCAGTAGCTGGGAATATAGGCACGCACCACCATGCCCAGCTAATTTTTATATTTTTAGTAGAGACAGGGTTTCACCATGTTGGCCAGGCTGGTCACCAACTCCTGACCGCATGATCCGCCCGCCTCGGCCTCCCAAACTGCTGGGATTACAGGTGTGAGCCACTGTGCCCAGCCTTAAAATACCTTATTATCAATCAAAGAAATAAAACTGCCAGTGAAAGGGCCCATGAGCTATTTAAAATAAATACAAACACAAACTGAAAGACTCCAGATCATACCTTGACAGTTAATGGTAAAGTTTCAGAAAACTAAAGAGAAATATCTTAATACTTCTGAAAAGAAAACAAAGTAAAACAAAAATGGATTACTTAACAAAGGAATGGAGGCTTTTAAGATAATCCAACAATATTCTCAAAGTATAAAGATAATTTTTAGATATGCCATCATTTAAAGAAAACAATTAAATAGGCTCATAGGATCCTAACAACCTTAGGAGTGTAACATAGAGAAAACAGAAGTGTTATTTAAACCCAAACTGACCATAGTAACATCTGAATTCCAAAGATGGTGGTTGTGACAAAATTCACATCAATGAGGAAACCAATCTTTATTCTGATCTTCTCTTCTCAGGGCCTGGGAAATGGAGAAAGGAAAGCCTAAAATTATGAAGCCTCTGCTGGTTCCTCTGGGCTGCTAAAGGAAAGACTTGGACTACACCATCCCGTGTTTCAACATATTAATGAGTTTTTGATGTACAAAGGTTGGCCTTTGTTAGTTAGTGGTGGAGACAAGTCATTCTGCATAATAAATTGAGAAGGATGACCCTAGGGAAGGCTGGAGGATGAGAGGTGTGGAGTGAGATGGGCTTGCATATCACGGCTGGAGCCTGAACCTGTAGAAAACAGTGGCTTGGAAGGAGGCATTCCCTTCAGATGGGGTGGCTGAAGGGCTCTTTATTTTCAAAACATCATTTAATTTTTTACTGTGAACAATCTTTAAGTTTATGAAAAAGATGCAAAAATAGTTTAGTGGGTTTCCATACACCCTGCACACAGCTCCCCTAAATGTTAGCATGTTACATAACCACAGTACTATTATTAGAACCAGGAAATACACATTGGTATAATATTACTTATTATACTATAAGCCCTTATTTGAATTTTGTCGGTTTTTCCACCAGTGTCCCTTTTCTGTTCCAGAATCCTACATTGCATTTAGTTATTTCTTCTCAGTCTTCTGTAGACTGTAACAGCTTCTTAGTCCTTCCTGCTCTTTCACGACCTTGATACATCTGAAGAGTACTGATCAGTTATTTTGTTGAACATCCCTCAAATTGTATTTTCTTTCCTTTTCTTTATTTTTTAGAGACAGGGTCTTGCTCTGTCACCCAGGATGGGTGCAGTGATGTGATTATAGTTCACTGTAACCTCGAACTCCTGGGCTCAAGTGATCCTCCCACTTCAGCCTCCTGAGTAGCTGGGACTACAGGAATGCATTATCACTCCCTGCTAGTTATTTTTATTTTTAGTAGAGATGAAGTCTTGCCACATTACCCAGGCTGGTCTCAAATTCCTGGCCTCAAGCGATCCTCCTGCCTCAGCCTCCCAAAGTACTGGATTACAGGCATGCACAACTGTGCCCGACAAGTTTTCTTCTGATTGGACTGAGGTTATGCATTTTTGACAAGAATGCCACAGAAATGATACTGCGTTCTCATGTAATGGGATGTGTGCATCATATAATGCGATTCATGATTCTAGTATTACTAGTGATGTTGACCTACCACTTGATTAAGGAGGTTTTTGCTGAGTTTCTCCATTGTAATGTTCTTATTTTTCTCTGGATAGTTAATAAATGTCTGGAGAAAATGCTTTGAGACTATGCAGTCTGTTTCAACTCAAACTTTCACTCACAGATTTTAGCATCCATCTATATATCCTTTCTGCTATAATTATCATTGTGGTGTCTGCCTAGTGGTCATTTTCTATTTCTCTCTATCCTTCTACCTTTATTAGTTAGATTTTTTTCTGCAGTGGCCAGGTCTGGGCAAACCTGCCCCCAAGTCCGAG